>NC_000003.12:103705574-104008604 GCF_000001405.40 Homo sapiens | reverse complement strand
GTAGCAGGCCCAAATTGGACACAACCTAAATGGTTAATTAAAGTAGAATATGAGCTTGAATTGCCACGTATTTAAAAAACTGTATATGAGAATGAACTAAACGAATATGCACTACTTGAATGGTCTCACAAACATAATGTTGGGTGAAATAAGCCATAACAAAATAGTGAATGCTAAATGGTTATATTTATGTAGAGACCCAGAATAAGCAAAACTAACCATAAAATTTTTAAGTGAAGATGCAGATGTTGAAAGGGAGGCAGAGAGGCAGAGGCTTCCAGTTTGATAGCAGTATTTCATTTTTTGACTTGGGTGGCAGTCACAGGAGTGTATTAACTTGGGAAAAATTTGTTGGGTTGTACACTTAGAATTTGTGCATTTTTCAAAATATAGTTTCTATGAGTAATTTAACATTTATAGCTCTGGATACTAAGTTTTGTTGTTTTATGACTATACATCTAAAAAGTTTTAGGTTTTCTATATTCCACAAAAAAGAGGCACTATTAGACATGATACCACAAGTATTATTAAATAGGGTGTGAGTATATTTGCATGAATAAAATGAATTAAGCATATATAAGAAAAATGTATTTTTCAACAACTCAAAGCAAATATGAATCTAACCACTATAACTCTTTCCATGGGATATAGATTAATGCTGAAATATTAGTTTGTGCTTAAAATGTATTTATGATGAATAAGAAGTAAATATAGTTGGGAATCACATCTCTGTTAATCAAAGTATAACTTTGTGATCTTAACCAAGTTTCTTGAGCTTTTGCCTTAATATCCTCATTAGAAAATCAATATATTTTCTATCTCATAGTATAATTTTAAAAATTAAATGCAAGAACTGTGGAAAGTAACTAGTGCTTAATAAGTACTTGATAATTAATAACTAACATATATAATAATATTATCAATACTATCCAAGGTTAACTTGCTAATTAATCCCTTGCTGAACATTTTGTTAAACCTCAAATTTTCATAGCATTAAATTATGTGGTGATGAAGAATGAGTTTTTCTGGTCATTTAAAAAAATTTAGGCCGGGCGCGGTGACTCACGCCTGTAATCCCAGCACTTTGGGAGAGCGAGGTGGGCAGATCAGGAGGTCAGGAGATCAAGACCATCCTGGCTAACAAGGTGAAACCCCGTCTCTACTAAAAATACAAAAACAAAATCAGCTGGGCGTGGTGGCGGGCGCCTGTAGTCCCAGCTTCTCAGGAGGCTGAGGCAGGAAAATGGCATGAACCCAGGAGGCGGAGCTTGCAGTGAGCCGAGATCAGGCCACTGCACTCCAGCCTGGGCAACAGAGCGAGACTCCGTCTCAAAAAATAAATAAATAAATAAAATTAAAGCTTCTACATAAAAAAAAAACATATAAAATGATTTTATGAAAGTTTTTTTTTTAAATGGGAATTTGCTACTTGGTATCATAAAGCAAAAATATTTTATTTTAGTTACACATAGTTAGAAGCAACTTAAATGTTAAAAATATCTTCCATCTCGGTAATCTCCAGTTGCCAAAACACTTGATCCAAATTGTGTTTGGTAGTATGTCTACCACATGGTCAACACAGGTTTTAAAACTTTATCTTATATTACAAACTCTGCCTTAAAGAAATTTCTGTGATCTTTAGACATTGGCTTAATATTCTTGAAGTTCAGTGAATTCATCTACAGAGTAGGGTGAGAATAACTGTTTCATGTAAATGTTGAGATGATTTCATTAAGCAAGATTTGAGTTATAATTAGTAAAGCTTGACATAAATGGAAATTTTCTGAACGTTGTTAAGGAGCTTTCCCATTAGGTTTGCCTAAAGTATTTATTAACACCCCCGCCTTTCTATCTCTTATCATCAGCAAATATTTTTAGGAGCCTGTTTCCTTTATATTCATTGGTACCATTCTAAACGACCATTACTTCTTTACAGGACTAAAGAAATCTTTATTTTGCCACTTCCAATTCTTTTTTCACAACACCACACAGATCCTTTATTATAAATTTAAATAAGAAAAGATGACTTCCTTATACAAAACCAAAAAAAAATTATTCATATTGCTCTTGGTATAAAATCCAAACTACTAACTCTAACTCAAAAACAAAACAGACACACACACACACACACACACACACACACTCACAAACAATGCCCACTTGCCTTTTCCAAGTCATTCAAGCATATTCCTTCCTCCAGGACTTTGTGCTGGTAATGTGCTGGTTATTTAAAAATTAATTCAGTTCTCAGCTTAAATATTATGTCTTCTAAAGAGGATATACTTATTAACTGATTTAAAATCACTCTTCCTCAAATCATTATACTTCTGTGACTTTGACATTTTCATGATAAATTTTATTTTTTATATAAAATATATAAAGGTAAATATATTTTTAAGATTTAAAATAAGACAACAATTATCTGTTCATTTAATATTTTCATATATATATAATCTTTTGAATCAAAGTTTTATGAGGGTAGGGACCTTCTTTGTCACTTTGAGTGCTTTGTTTCCTCCTGGGGATTAGTACAGACTCAGTGTTTGTTGAATAAATATCATCCAGTTTAGCTAGTGATGAAACTAGCTAAAGAGAACACCTAAACCAGATGGAATCCACGATCAAAGGAGCTTGAATATTTTGATGATGCATAATTCTCTAGTCCAAGCAGGAATGCTTTCTCAATTCATTATTAAATTTCTAATTTTGAATATTTAAACACAGAAAGATACAAGTTAGTGTAAGATTTTATTAGTGCAAGAGTTTGTATATGCAAGTACCAATATATTTATAATATTTGTCTTTAAGAAATTTATACACATGGTTAGAATATAAAATATACATATTCAACATTACTTAACCAATGTCAAAAACAAAAATGATGTAAAATATAAATATAAAATATATGATACAATTATTATGAAGTACAATTACTGTTAGAAAGGTCTAGGCTAGAGTTATCACTTAAAATTCATGAAGAAATTAGTAAGTAATAATCACAGTAACAGATTAATAAGATTTAGGTAACTAAAGGTTATTCAGAAATACACAATTTTTTTTCCAGAGGAATAAAACTTTGTTTTTTATTAAATCAGGGGACTTCTTATGCAATTTTCTTTCTTTTAGAGAAGGCTTTGTAAAAAATGTAGCAATTCAAAGCGAAACATAAAGTTTCTTTCAAGAAGGTAATCCATTATTAAACTAGGCCACTGGCATCATTGTCATTCTAAGCTGTGTAGGAAACAAATGTTGCCAGCTGCACAAGCCCTCAAATGGCAACACCAAACTATTCATATTGAGAATGACTTTTCAGCGCACATAAAGTATAGTGCCAAAAGTATTTTTCACAAGTTAAAGAATATTGAATTGGACTTGGCATCTGAAATTCCTGACAAGGCAGCATTTTACAATGTGAGCACTATAGCACCAGGCCATTTGATTGGCAGCATGTTTTGCTTCCATCACTAAACATCAAAAACTTAACCATATTGACAGTTGGATGGCCATTGGACTTCTAAGTGAGTTGTCATGTGAGACAGATTAGCTTCAAAAGACTTGACTTACAGCATTGACTTTAATTTTTTATTCATCAAATTCACATGGAAAATGCTTTTCTACAGTTACCAAAGGCTATGTTCAAAGCTGGCATAACATTGCTCTTCTTCACTTTTTTATTGCCTCTTATGTGTGTAAGCTATATGAAAGGTAGCTATTATACAAAATGCCTAGCATAAAATATATTCCCAATAAAGACAACTATTTTATTAATATTAGCAACACTATGGCTGCCATCAGTATGCTTTTACAGTACTGTATATGGTTAGCTCCTTAACATCAGTACTGTTTGATGATGCACTATCAGGGCCCCCAGGGAAAGATAAGTCATGCTAAGAAATTAATACAAAAAATATTAAATGCTTGTTACAAAGGTATTAGAAAAGTAGAAGGAGAAAAAGGGAGATATTCAACTAAGATATAATTTCAAGATGTTTATCCCATCCAAGATGGCTAGAAAAAACAGAGGAAGGAAGACGGTGTTTCCAGAATTCAAGGTACATGTGACACTGACCCTGCTGGAAACTGCCAGCATCAGAACCTCCAAAGGCTTCTGAGGCCTGCAACTGCTCTCTTTTCCAGCCTTCAGAGCTACTGAAAGCCACTGTAGCCAGCAGCTTCTGGCAATCACCCCTTGAGAGTGCTTCTGGAACACCAAAGGCACTGAAGTCATTCTCTCCTCTCAAAATCCTATCAGTGATTTTAAAGGCTTCATTCTGAGTGAAGTAAACAAATTCTAAAAAGTCACATTATGTACAATTCCATTAAGATACCATTCTTGAAATGACAAAATGATAGATATGACAAATATATTCATTGTTGAGGGAGTTGGGGACGGTGGAGGAAGGAGTGAATGAGGAGTGACTATACACAGATAAAATGAGGGTGATCTTGGTGGTGATGAAATTGTATTTTATTTTCATCCTGTGATTGTTGCATAAATCTACATATGTGATAACATGAAATGGAGCTATATACACATTTTATAAACGTCAAATCTCTGGTTTTGATATTGTACCAGAATTATGTAAAGTGAGATAATTGGAAAAAAATGAGTAAAGACTACACTGGGCTTCTCTGTGCTATTTTTTGCAAATTACTGTGAAATATAATTATTTTAAAATAAAAGTAATAAACATATAAATACATAAGTGAATAAATTCTCCCACTGCTAACACTAACTAAAATTCAGTTGACAGGAAAGTCATTTGGCAGGAGGGTCTAGAAAATTCAATTTTTAAGTGTTCAGGATTCCAGATTCCTTTAATATAGAGCAGAACAATGGATGATAGGAGTGAAATTGAGTGCATATTAATGAAGAAGAAAAACGGCATAGTACCAAGTATCTCTAATATATACCCATTGGTTAGCAAATTCAACTGTATTTTTAAAAATATTTACAGAACTAACACATATTTAATTGGCTTATCCTGTAATAACCAGCATAACAATGGTGTTGAAGGCTCTAAACAACTAATTGGGGAAAGTAATATCAAATGGCTTACATTCAAAAAACAATATGCTAGTCTTTATGATATTCTTGCCACATATGAGATGATCAATAATATTTGTTAAGTGAATGGTTGAAATGAATACCCTAATTCTAAATAGCATGCTATTGTGATTTTTTTTTCTGTTTAAACTACCAAAAATAGAATTTTACATTTTCAGTACTATGTGGCTGGGTGCTGAATTTTAGGGTTTCATGGAGTAAGAGCCTGGAGTCATACAGCTAAGTAAATAGAGCATCGTCTTAGCTCTGACTTTCTAAACAAGCAAAATATATATTCTTTTGAAAAGAGATAGATCAAAAGTCTATTTCATTATATAGCTCAAAACATCAAATTCAATTTCTTCCTGTTTTGCCTTTTTTTAAAGATATATCCCAAGCCAGCAAAGCCTGGGAATAACTGAACAAGAGCTAATATTCTGTTATTACTCCTTTATTTATTTAACTTGTATTATAACCTGTATTACAACAAATTTGAATCTGAACTACTGGATGCACATCAGGATACATGGGACAAAAATAAAAATATGAGTGGAAATACATCATCTCCAGAGAGCTACCCATGTCTTCTTATAAAAGAAAGGCTACACTTAGTAGATTCTGATGTAATGAGAGACTTCTAATTCACTGGGATTGTGTGTAATAAATAAATAATAAATTTTGTCAAGTGCTTTCTATACATGAATTAATATTACAATGTTTTATTCATCTTTTGGTTATTCATATAGACACTGATAATCAATTGATAACATTGATTGACTTACAAATTAATTGACCTAGCAATCCTACTTCTAGTTATTTATCCTAGACAAATGAAAATTACATGCACACAAAATCCTTTAAATAAGTGTTCTTAGTAGTATTATCCATCATTGCTAAAAATTGTAGGTCTAGATGTCCTTCAGTGGGTGAATGGATAGACTTTGGTACATCTACTGACAAAGACCCTTTCCATTGACGAGAACATTTGTCAGGCTCCTCAGAATCCTCTTTCTGGCAAGGCTCCAATCCTGCTTCCGGTGGCTCTATTTCTTTAATCCAGTTTCAGCAAGAATCTTGCTTGGTCAGTTTAGCAAAAATGCCCCACTGTTGGTAACTGACCATCCTTGATGTCTGCTCAAATTCCCAATCCCTCATCCTTGATATCTAATCACTCTCATCTACCTTCAGCAAGAATCTTGTCAAGTTGGTTTAGCTAAAATTCTCCTTACCCCTAATGTTTGCTCTTAGTAATTTTCCATCCACTGACTCCATCCCGGCTCCTTGACTATACATCTCTACTTGTCTTTGCTATATTCAGAGGCAAACCCTATCTTTCTTCCCTACTACAATACCTCATTACAGTTTCTCCTATATATATCATAATGGGCTCCCCTGGAATAAAGTCTTTCCTACTGTTTTTAACACATGTCATGTGTACTATGTTCTTTAACATTGCACAGTGAAATACTATTCAACAACAAAAAGGAAAAAATTATGTACACAGGCAACAACACGGATAAATCTCAACTGTGTTGTGCTAAAATGAAAAAGGCCAATTATAAGTATGATTCCACTTATAACTAAGTGGAAAAAGGTAAAAACATAGTGTCATAGAGCAGATAAATGGTTGCACTGGATGGGGGAGGAAAAGAGTCTGAATGCAAAGCATTCTTTATGTGTTGGAATTGTTCAGCTCCTTTGAGTGATAGAGGTTATAAGAGTCTATGTATGCATATAAATTCATATAACTGTCCAACAAAAAAGTGTCTTCTTATATTTCATTCGAAATATTTAGTAACCAATATATAAAAAATATATTCTAGTGTTAACCATCTCTGATACTCATTTTTATCACAAAGTGTACTATAATACAGAACTTAGTTTACGTTGTCCTTCTGTTTTCTCTGGAATCAAGATCAAAGTTGTGAAATAAGTTAACTTGTCTTTATGAGTGTCCTTTCCAATTTTACTTATTTTCTCCTTCTGCACGATTTGCCTTACTATAAATTGATTATTTCTCTCTTTTCCTCTAAAAATCAATCATGTTCTCTCTTAATAAATCACCTGACAGTGTGAATTAACAAATATTGATTGTATATCCATTGTTTACAGGAAGGCTTAAATGAGTGAATAAAATAGTAAGCTTCATCCTTAGGATTTGCATTTTAATGAAAATGAAAGTCAAAGCACTGAGCCAAAACCAAAAGAGTAAGCATCTAATTTATAACTTGAGATATCAATGAGTTCATCTTGGGTCATTTTTTGGGAGATAAGAGGACTTACTGAAAGTCATCACAAATGTTTATATGACCCTTTACTTTCCCTTCCCATAATGGGAGAGTCACATATTCAAAATTCTTTGAAAATCTTGTTTCTTCCTCTTTAGAAAAATGACTAAAGGCAACTAAAAGTTTCCCTAGTATAGATAATTTTACCTGATCTCCATAATACAAGAAAAATTATGTGTTTAATATTTAAGTTGACATAATGGCAAAAAAAAAGAAAAATGGCAATTTAGTCCACAACGATGATGGTGGTGATTTTGCAAATTAAACCTAGATTTATTTGATGAAATATCTAACCAGTTCAATGATAGCACTGAGCTGCTTCTTCAATACAGAAATTTCTACCTGAAAATGTTTATTTGAATGTTCAATCTGCTGAAATGTTTCCTTGTTTTGGCTTACAGCTACTGCTGCTCTTTTCTTTGATTACTTCCAATATTGCAAAAATATGTTTTGGGGGACATTCCTTTAAAAAAAAAAAAAAGATTGCTTGCTTGCATTGTGGGAAATCAGTGGAATCATAGATCCCCAGTGCATACCATCATTATGAGATGAAGACTTTTATTAGATATATTTTAGGGTCAGATTTTTGGGACCACATAATTGTACTGTGGGCAGTATTCTAGTATTTTTTGGAAATAAATAAGTATAATGCGGTTCAGAGCAGCCAATGAATGCTCAGATTGGAGATTTTCCTAAATACTAATTATTTCTTACATGTTTGCAAAAAATATCATTTCACAAATTGTAATGGAAATCCTATGCTAGCTGAAAGAGTAGCAGAAACACTTAATTTGATATTTTCACCAAGATAGAGATTTCTCCAGAAGTGAGTGAGAAGAGTCATTTTTCTCTATGTGCCCAAAAAAGATACTTAGGACCAAATGAGTACAGTGAATATCTTTGAAATATATTTTCACAATATTAGTGTTTCACAATAGATGATAAAATAATAGCTCTTTGATCAAGCAAAAGATATGACAGGTTATAAAAACCTTAATTTTCAGTGTTGGAATAGTTTTATCCCCCAGAGTGGGAAAAAGCAATAAGAGGTTTTCAATTTTATTCTGTTCTCATCAAAGATTTTGAAGTATGTGGATTCAATCTTTTGTGAATATTGAAATTTCACCATATAAATGCACAGATTATAAATGGAAACTTATGAAGCGATTAAACTTGACATGTAAGTGATCTTATTGCTCCATTCTTAAATTGTTTGTGGGTTTTATAATCAATGTCTAATATTCATGGTTTAGAAAAATAATTTGATTACTTTTTTGTTGCTATCTGGGTAGGACTTTATTATTTTCTTCTATTCTATTTATTAGTAATTTCAAATAATCAAAGATAGCTATTGAAACCTTCTAAAAAGGTGAAACCATGACTCTAGCCAATATATATGTGTCTGGATTTTTAAAGACACATTAATAAGAATGTAATTGCATAAAATAGAAAGTTAAATTAATTTTAGAAGAAGGAGAAATAAAATAAAAGGTTGTTTGGTTTACATTTGGCTATATGAAGAAAATTAACCATAAGACAATCTGTAGAAATGAGGTTAGGGAAGATACTATAACTGAAAATGAAAGATGATACTGAGTAATCGAAAACAACTTTCTTAAATGAATCCCTTTTTCTTAGGGTTATCCAAGTAAAACTGTTTTATCATATTAAGGAAGTAACCAATTGCAGAATACCTCCCTCTCTTTCAAACTAGGTTGCCAATACAATAGTGCATAACTAACTAAAGTATTTGTTGGGAGACTCATTATTAGAAAGCCAATATTCCTAAAAATAAATGAAAAATTTAAATTTA
The DNA here is from genome assembly GCF_000001405.40 of Homo sapiens. Classification (NCBI taxonomy): domain Eukaryota; kingdom Metazoa; phylum Chordata; class Mammalia; order Primates; family Hominidae; genus Homo; species Homo sapiens. The sequence continues at coordinate 103,999,456 of NC_000003.12, read as the reverse complement.
AACCAATCCAGTAATACAATTTCTATTACAACAGCATTAAACAATTCCCTTTCATCAATTCATTTAAATTACAATCAGAGGCCTACACAAACTACATACAATGAAAATCATTTTACAAGTGAATAATGGTTTATTTGAATATAGTGGTATTTTGCTGTGCAAAGTTATCAATCTGAAACATTTCATTAGAGGTATATTTAGTATGAATAAAAATCACAAGAACATAATGCTGACCTAGAAATCTTATTCTGGAAAAAGAAAGTGGGTGAAAAGAATTTTAAATTCTCAATACAATATAATTTGACTTTAATTTCTATATGTGAAATTACCAACAACAATCTGTTTCAGTTACTTGGTCCAAAGAAAAATATAGTAAAACAATATTACAAAAGATAAAAGTAAAATTAAATGGCTTAGAAAATCATAAAGAGCTAATACAGCACATTAGTCAGAAACAAATGTCATCTTTGAGAAAATGTTAAGAGTTGGATAAAAGGAGAGTAGGTAATTTCTCATTAATTTAATTAGGTATTATAAATCAGAGTAAATGGCCATAAATTAATCAGCACAGGTATTATATCTACAGTGATCATAATATATAGTTTCCAGGGTTTTTTTAATTTTTATTTTTTTTGAGACTGAGTCTCACTCTGTCACCCAGGCTGGAGTGCAATGACACGATCTCAGCTCACTGCAACCTCTGCTTCCTGGGTTCAAGCGATTCTCCTCCCTCAGCCTCCCGAGTAGCCGTGATTACAGGTGCCCACCACTAAGCCCAGCTAATTTTTGTATTTTTAGTACAGACAGGGTTTCATGTTAGTCAGGCTGGTCTCAAACTCCCGATCTCAGGTGATCCGCTGGCCTCGGCCTCCCAAAAAGTGCTGGGATTACAGGCATGAGCCACTGTGCCTGGCCTATAGTTTCCATTTTTATTAATTAATTTTTAGATTTGTATTTGACACATAATAATAGTAAACACACAATTTTTAAATTTATAATTGACATATAATTGACGTACAATGTGATGTTTCAATGCATACATATATTGCATAATGATCAAATAAGGATAATTACCATAACCATCTTTAACCACCATCATTTCTTTGTGGTGATAACATTCCAAATCTTCTTTTCTAGTTATCATGAAATACACACTACATTACTTGCTATAATCATCCTACTGTGTAATAGAATGCTAGAACTTATTCTTCCTGTCTAACTGTAACTTTGTATCTGTTGACAAATATTTCCTTGCCCCTTCACCTCTCTTGCCCTCCTCAGCCTCTAGTAACAGCTATTGTACTCTCTAATTATATGAAATCAACTTTTTTAGATTCCACATGAGTGAGATAGATAAGGCAGTGTTTGTCTTTCTATGTGTGGCTTATTTCACTTGATATCATATCCCACCAGATTCATCCATGTTACCACAAATGACAGGATTTCATTCTGTTTTATGGCTGAACAGTATTTCATTGTTCTTTAGTCATTCATCTGTAGATGGACACTATGTTGATCACATATTTTGGATATTGTGAATAGTGTTAAAACAAATATGTAAGTATCTCTTCAACATACTGGTTTCATTTCCTTTGGATATATACCCAATAATGGAATTGCTGGATCATATGGCCATAGATTTAATTTTTATAGTTAAGTTTTTAATTTTCTAAGACACCTCTATACTATTTTTCATAATGGCTGTACTAATTAATTTGATAGCTTCAATTTAATGTTCTATTATGTTTTGGGTCTGGAGTCTTTTAGGTATTTTCTTATAGGAATCACAATTATTTATCAACTTACCCTTCTTTTCTCTTGGAATCAAATAAGAATCCAAATACATTCAATGTTCTATTTCTCTCTTTTGTACATTTATCAAACATTAATAGTTTTACTTATATAAGTATTATTGAATTAACTAATGAACAATGACTAATTAATGACAGTTTAGTTTTTTGTCTTGGAGAGGTAGAAGGGATGTCAGAGGATTAAATACAATTTAGGTTAAATTATGAAGAACAGGTTACTCCTAGAACGGAGCCACCATAAATAAAAGCACTATTTCAAATTTACTTAATTGTTGAATTCAATTCAATCATAAAATTCAAAATGGTAACACCTTTTCTTTCTTCTCTCCTTCTGCCTTCTCTCTGCACTGAGAAAGCTACAAATATTACATCTATTTTCACGCTCAGCTGTATTAGACACTCCTCTAACATATTGGATGCTCTTTTGAGTTCCAAAATTATACACACATGTGATATATATTTCCAGTAACATAACATATTAATTTTTCTATAGCTCAAAACTCTTTGGGATACATATACATATAAATATCTATTTTGTAGCTTATTGTGAGAAACATAAATGGGAAACTGTTAGTTGCCTTAAAAATAACTAGTAGGAAATGATTAAAGTTTCTTTAAGATTTAGGTGAATGAATTAAGGATTCTCACATTAATGACTATAATCTAAATGGGTTTTTATGAGGAGTTAGAAGGACATGTTATAGAAGATCTAGTAGCAAAACCAAAAGGATGGCATAAATGAAAATTTGTGAGCTAAAATTCAACCTTGCCAATATTTAACAACAAAACCTCTAGGTTTATAAAAATATTCATCTTCCTATGAAGTACTCAGTGAACAAAAAGATACTTGTCACCAGCTGGCTTCATCAGAGCTCAATTTTACAATTAAGAAACTGAAGGCATTTGATCTCACTTTTTCCTTTAATTATCAATTTTCTTATTTCTTGCCTCTTTGGTTTGCCTCTAGAGAACTAGTCACAATTTCCTTTCCCAACAGAATTTTTCTTAAAAAAAAAAAAAACTAATATAAGGAAGACAGATTAAATGTATGTTGCCTGTGAGATTTTCATGACTACAGAGGAGTAACAAATTATATGAACAGATTAAAAATACTCAATTTTTAAAATATAATTTCCAGTGAGGAAAACTGAGAAGTTTGTCTACAGTTCAGTCTCACTGTCACTACTTATTTCACAGGTTTGCACAAATTACGATGGAATAAATTGCTGCAAAAGGTAAAGTTCTAAACCAATGTAATCCTTTTAACGGCATTTACTTATTTCTCATACTTCCAAGAAATTTGCCATTGTGAACGTGCAGTGAGAAATGTATAGGAAAAATGTCAAAACTAGCGGTCACAGAAATCAAAGTAGAAAAAAATATGAATTTTTAAATCTCTGAGTTAAGCAGAGAAGCTAGCAATAGGTTAGGACCCTAATTTGCTAAGTTTTAAAACAGTAAAGTAGCAATGATGAGTACAACTATTCTTCAGGGGAACTTTTAAATGAGAGGAATAAATTAAAGTTAAAACCTTGTTGCTATATTTCCTTACCATTCCAACTGTATTTAAGATAATTTTTGTAATTATTAATTACAAACAAAAGCTTTTTCCTTCGTATATTCAAAATAAATATTTCCCTGTATTTATGTCAATGCAAGGGAAAACAAATGTCAGATTAGAAATCTATTTTATTTTGCTTGTTAACAGCAAGTCTTCACCACGTAGTTTATTTCCTTCCTAGACCAATTATTTTGACTTCGTATTTATAATTAAAACTTTTTAAGTACAATTATTATATTTGCATATATAGCATTTTAAAAATGAAAGTTTTTGAGTTCTTACTGTTTTAGAGAAGGGCTTTATTACTAATTTAGATAATGGGGATGTAACCCATTGTCCATAAAATTGTTTTCATTGGTAGTGGGGAAATATTGATTTAAACCTTTTACCTATGGAAGAAAGAATACATCATGTGTGAACAAGTTTACTATTGGAAACTGCTTTAGTAACTTCATCTGAAACCCAAGAGACTCACATGAAACAAATATGAATACCTCTGCTATTAAACAATGGTGAGCTCTATTGTGTCAGTATTGTATATCGATAGGCAACTGAAACTTTTTTTATTTATTATCTAAGTAAGAATTTGAGCTGTCACTTCTAATAGCAAACTGCCAGTTTAATCCATTTTCACACACATGCACACTTACTACTCTCCTTAAAATATGCAAAGAGCTATTTTTAATAGCTTTTTCTAAATATTTCACATAATGTGTGAAAAATATCATGATGTTTCTATTTCCTCTTTTCATATTCTTAATCTGTAGCATATAGCAAAGTAGTGGCTCTGTTTGGTTCTACTAACGAGGAAGTCCATACCTACCTATGGCACCTGTAAGAGATTCTCATAGAAAACTGCTGCATATGAGATAAATCAATGCATGTTTGCTGTTACAAAAAGGAAGTTGATAAATGAAATAAACTTGTGAATACAGAGCTAGAGTGAAATGCTGCAAACAGATTAGCTGAGCTTGTTGATTTTTTTAATTAAAATTGAACAGTGATATACTTCTGTTAAATAAAGCTTATCTGAGCCTCCTTGTGATCACATTCACTTAAACAAAATTTTAAATTGGCATATTTACATATATATTTTGTTCATAGCATTTACCTTGTTTCACATTTTATAAATTTCTATTACATTAAAAATATATGTTACTTATACATATTTTAAAATATTCAATGTAACAACACTGCTTTGGAATTAGAGATCATAGACAATGTGCATTAAAGTGCCATGGGTTGAGGTCAGTGAAATAGTGGTAGACCTACTTGTTATTTGCATTTGTTTGTGTTAGAGCTGCTGGTTTTTAGATATCTTTAATTTTTGTTTCTGTTAACATATATATATATAAAAACATAAACATATATAAATATATATTCCTGTATATATAAATATATACATTCTGTACATATATGTAAATATATACATTCTGTGTGTGTGTATATATATATATATATACAGAAACAAAAATTAAAGCTATCTAAAAACCAGCACCTCTAACACAAACAAATGCAAATAACAAGTAGGTCTACCACTATTTCACTGACCTCAACCCAGATATACACACATAAACACACACACACATATATATAACATATGCATATGTTAAATAAGTAAAGAATAACAAATTTGTGTGTGTGCATGTAAGCGCAGACAGACAAAAATCATCATCCTGTAATTCCTATCCAATCCCATTTTCCCAAGACTTTCAGAACACTTTCACTTCTATCAACCCTTTTGAAATTAAACATTTATAAAGATTTGTATTTTTTTTAGATGGAGTTTTGCTCTTATTATTGAGGGTGGAGTGCAATGGCACGATCTTGGCTCATTGCAACCTCTACCTCCTGGGTTCAAGCAATTCTTCTGCCTCAGCCGTTCGAGTAGCTGGGATTACAGGCACCTGCCACCATGCCCAGCTAATTTTTTGTATTTTTAGTAGAGATGGGGTTTCACCATGTTGGCCAGGCTGGTCTTGATCTCCTGACCTCAGGTAATCCACCTGCCTTGACCTCCCAAAGTGTTAGGATTATATAGTACTTTTAGTTTAAGACTCATTAATATTTACATTGCAATGTATCTTTTTTGTTTAAATAAACTTTACTTGCAAATTTATTACACAATCTCTGGTAGCCTATAACTATTTTTTTCCCACTATGGTTCACTCTTCTTTCATTTTCCCTTTGAAAATAGTAATTATGATGCATTTCTTATTTGTTTAGGATACCTTCTAAAACGATTTAATATAAATTTTTACAATATGAAAACAGAATTCACTCTGGGAAGTAAATATACCTTTCTTTCAAATGGGGTTCTTGGGAATCTAGTATTTTCTTTCAAAAATTTGTAGATATAAGAAACAATGAGATAGCCATGACAGAGTTACTATTTTTATAAATAACAATCAAATCGCACAAAGTATATATAAAATAGGGTTCTGGTAATCAACAATAAAGAGTTCTGATCCTTGACAAAGAATAACTTGCAAAGTGAACTGAACATGCTCCCCAGAGACCATAGAGAACTTTCCAGAATATGGCACAGAGAAGGAGATCCTAACAGAAAGCCACAAACTCACTGAGTATGAAGAAAAGAGATACTGTTTTTTCGAGGATGAGGAAGATTTAAGGGGCAGTTACTACAGAAGGAGTTGCAAAGTAAAAGCTCTGAAAATGTGCTTAGGGCTATATTTAAGTATTCGTTCTTTTAGTAAGCTGTGCTTATATATGCTGAAACTCCAAAAAGGATGGACTGAGAATAGCTTATAAAAGGCTGTGAAACTGATACAGACAGGAGACAGGAAAATACTGGGTAGAAGAGGGTTGTTCCCTGGCAAAGGCCCCACCCTCAAGCCTGAATACCCGCAGCCCTAAATTAAGACAGGCATTCCTTTCTTTACACCCAAAAGTTGCCTTTAGGCCCACCACGCCCTTATCCTCTACCCAAATAAGCTTGAACCCCATGCTCCAGAAGCAGACAAACAGACAAGGAGACAAGAAGACGAGCAGACGAACGGCATACAGGTGTGGCAAAGAAGGAAAGAAGAGAAGGAGCATATGAATGCCAAGAGGAATTTGGCTGGGGACAATTGGAAAGGAGATCAGCCAGTGGAAGGCCAAACTCCAGGCGAAGACCATCTTCCCACTCCATCCCACCTCCAGCTCCCTATCCATCCCATTAAGAGCCTCCTCCACCACTCAATAAAACCCCCGCATTCAACCTTCAAGTCTATGTGTGATCTGATTCTTCTAAGATGCTGGACAAGAGCTCAGGATACAGAAAGCCATCACACTGCCCCCTGCCCTTGCAAAAAGGTAGTGGGTCCACTGAGCCAGTTAACACTTAAGCTGTCCACGGATGGCAAGGCTAAAAGACTGCACTGTACCACATGCCTATTTGGGCTTTGGGAGTTGAATGCTCCCGCCCCTGGGTGCTGCCATATAGCTGGAGGCTAGGGGCGCTCTCTCCAGCTCCTGCACCTGTCAATCTGTGTGCTCCCCTTCCCGTAATGGGTTTGAGTAGCTGTGTCAACTGAACAGACGAGCCACACCCCTGTCACATGTGCACTGAGGGGGATCAAGGAACTTTCTCATTTCATTTGGGGTTCCAGGTGGGATACAAAGAAGGGTGAGTTAAAATGCAGATCTGCTTCTTTTCCAAGACCCTGCCACCTATCTCTTTCCTTCCGGTAAAGAGAATGTTGACTCTATTTTCCTTTATGGAGGTCTAGCCATCACCTGAGACCGGAGTAAAGCCCTGGGGCAATCAAAGGCATCTTTTGTTTTTGGAAGGCCCCAAGACTGAATTCCATCAGCCAACACCCCCAGACTTTGCTGTGCTCTCTCGTCTTTCATAGTTTGAAATGGCTCCTATCTCTTCTTGTATAATGTTAAAGGTTTACTACACAGTGAGGCAATGATATTAAATAGAATGAGTGCTTGGTTCAGCCATTAGAAATGCAATTCAGAACAATGTGGTTTCCATTTATTTTTAGAGGTGCCATCTCCACCCCCACCCCACTGCAGTGTCCCGCATGCGACAGTTCCCCTCCTTACCTCCTCTCCTCGTGGCTGGTAGCTGGGGTGCCTGAGCGTGTCTGCAGCATGTACAAGCCAGAACCAATGGCTATAAGGGGTGGGAGAAAACCACAGATGCCGCTGGGGACCCATGCAACCGGATGGCCAGCACCTCCTAGGTGCTGCGCCAGTAGAACTTTTCCTCCCCTGGCCAAGGAGTTCAACCCAGTTTGAACCAGAGAAGGATACAAGGATGAAAAGAACCCATTTGTACTGAGCAAGGGGTTCTTCTCCCATGACCTCCCCGTTTCACCCCTTAAGCTGTCTTTTCCTTTTTTTTTTTTTTTTTTCCTTTACTAAGCAAGGGGTTTTCTTTCCCCTACATGCTGCTCATGATAGGGAAAATAATGAAGGAGCGTCCCCTGCTGGCTGATAACTGCAAATTCGATAGGGCTCATTTGAGATTTGATCTAAACAGAACAAACAGCCCCTGAAATAGTTTTTTGGTCTCAAACTGGATTCCAAGCTTCAGTCTGAGGCTCTAAAAAGGAAAACCAGATCTGAGGATCCAAAACCAGGCAACAGGCATAATGTAATTGGGAAGAACCAATTCCTGCCAACTAAACCCCCATTTCATGGAAGGTGGCCAAGCTCCATGGCATAAATGAGGTTCCGGGAACTCAAAGATTGTCGACAGGAGGGGAAACAGAGGTATAGGTGAGGGCAGATAATTCCTATTCTCTAGGAATTCCCTGCTTTATGGGTGCATGCCGCATTGGCACCCATGGGTAGCACCTGCCAAGATCACCAGGACTCGGGGATGAAAAGACAGAAGAGAAAAACGGGGTGCTTGTGTCCTCCCTCTCTCACACTTCAAGTTTTTGTTGAAAGAAGAAAAGGAAATGAGGGATGCCTCTATTCCCTGTCTTTCAGAATGGGCAACGAGCTGTCTTCAACACCTCCAGCTTATACTCCTCTGGAGTGTAATCCTGAATCACTGGGACTACCTTGACATTCAGAATCTGGAGGAAAAATGCCAGATAGCCCTCTGCAGAAAGGTTTGGCCAAATTATAAAGGACTGGCTTGGCCTCAGGAAGGAACCATTCATTTTGATACCATCCTACAACCTTTACTGTAAGCATGAGGACTGATGGTCTGAGGCTCCATATGTGCAGGCTTTCTATACCTTGCAGGGCAATCCAGACATTGGCAACAGTGTAGGATTAATCTAGCCCTCCTTTTTGCCATCTCAGGAAAGGCTGCAAGGGGCAATTCCAGGGAATTAAAGATACAAATCTCAGAGGCACTGTAGCAGAGGCGCCAGCTCCCTCCAGCTCTCCTTCTCCAGGTCCACCCCAACCTCCCTTTCCACCTTGAGTCTCTTGCTTGCCTCCTTCTAGAAATTATCACTCTAGACAAGCCCCAGTCTCACTCTTGCCCCTCCAACATATGCCTGGTTAATTTGGCCCCAGTAAGGTCCAGGTCTTCTTCTCTCTACAGGACTTAAAGCAATTTAAGGAGGATCTTGGCAATTTTTCAGATGACCCTGACAGATATATACAGGCTTTCCTGAATTTCACTCAAGTGTTTGAACCTCCTGGAAAGACATTATGTTACTTTTGAATTAGTCTCTGATGGACACTAAGAAGCAAGCTTCTCTGCAAGCACAGAGAGATTTGGGGATGAGCTTCATATCCCATATAGCATCAGAGAAAGGGCTGAACTTTAACCAGCTGGAAGAGAAGCAGTACCAATAAATGAGCCTGAATGGATATCAGTGAGATGGGAGACTGGAGGAGGAGACACTTTGAGATGTGCGTAATTGAGGGCTTATGTAGGATTAGATACATGCCTCTCAATTATACTAAGTTATCCATGATAGACCAAGGATTTAATTAAAAAAAAACCTCACTGACTTCCTGGAGAGGCTAAGAGGGGCCTTGGTAAAGCACATCTCTCCATCTCATAATTCCATTGAGGGGCAACTAATCCTAAAGGATAAACGTATTAGTCAGCCAGTCCCTGATATCAGGAGGAAGTTGCAGAAATGGGGCCTGGGACCAGATACTATTTTAGAGGACCTCCTGAAAGTAGCCACCTTGGTTTTTTACAATAGAGATAGGGGGACACACGAAAGAGGCAGAAGCTTTAATGGCAACCATGCAAGCCCACAAACCCCAGAATTCCCAGGATACACTTGTTAACTGCTACAGATGTGGCAAGAACAGTTATCTCTCTTCTAAAGTTTAACCATTTCCATACAAGTTTTAATTTCTTTCACCAGAGTGAAACAGCTTAGGGCACAATGTTGTTAGTATATTTCACTTCTTATTTCTGTAATCTTTGGCACTAGATTCTTTCCTTTGGCACTAGATTCTTTCCTTGTATAATACACGTTTAACCATGGATACATAAAACTTGTTTTATTCTCTCTCACATACAGGCCATCAAACTCCAAACAGTCAGGCAACTGGAGCCTCAGACAATGGCTCCCTTTTGCCAGGAACCCTTAGATAGACTTCTGGGAGAATGCTGACTGCCATTTCCCCCCAAAAAATGCCCCCTGTCAGGAGAAAGTAGCTAAGATTGGTCATTGTCCATATTCTAATAGCGGTTAGATGTTCCTCTTCAGAACGGGGAAATGATACAGACAAGAGACAGGGAAATACTGGGTAGGAGAGGGCAATTTTCTGGCAGAGTCTCCACCCTCATGCCTGAATACCCAGGGACCTAAATGAGAACCGGCATTCCTGTTTTCGTCCCCGACAGTTGCCTTTTGGCCCACCATGCCTTCATCCTGTACCCATATGAACCCCGAACCCCAGGGTCCAAAAGCAGATGAGAAGGCAAGGACATGAGCAGACAAACAGCAGAATGGCACACAGAGGAGAGAAAAGAAGGAACATCTGAATGCAGAGAGGAGTTTAGCTGGGGATGACCAAACTCCAGAAGAAGACCATCTTCCCACTCCATCCTACTTCCAGCTCCTCACCCATCCCACTGAGAGCCACCTCTACCACTCAATAAAAGTCCTGCATTCATCCTTCAAGTCTGTGTGTGACCTGATTTTTCCAAGATGCTGGACAAGAGCTTGGGATACAGAAAGCTGTCACACTGGTCCCCCTGCCCTTGCAAAAAGGCAGAGAGTCCACTGAGCTGGTTGACACAATAAGGAGATAAAAAATGAACAGACTCAAAGACATGTCTAATAATACCAAGAGGCACACTGCATGAAAAATAAGAATCCCACAAGGAGAATGGAAAAAAAAAGGGATAGTAAAAAAATTAAACATTGTGAATAACAATTTTCCAAATTTAATTAAAATTATTGCTACACTCATAAAAGTTCAATAAATACCAAGCAGGATATCTTAACATTTTACATTATAAATTAATTATAGATTACATAATGTATAGAAGATATATGCTTATTTTTAGAAAATTCATTAAATTTATATAATGCAATTTTACTCAGTAATATGCAGAAAGTAATTATTGATAAATGCAGCAACATAGATGAATCTGAAAATACTTTTTCTGGGTAAAAGAACCAGATAAAAAGAGTATATATTGTATGACCTCATTTATATCAAACATTAGAAAATGTAAATGAATTTATAGTGACAGGAAGCTGATTAGTTACTGCCTTTAGACAGGTGTTTGGGAAAAGGAAGCAAAGAAGATGTGGGAATATTTTTCAGAGGAGAAATAAGGAACTCTTTCCAGTTATTTCATTAGCTTGATGACAATTTTATAGGCTTATACATATGTCAAAACTTGTCACATTGTACACTTTAAATATATAAACTTTATCATATGTATACATTAATAATGCTATTAGAACTTGATCCATCTATTTCACCACATTGATAGAACATGTAAAAATTTTGTAATATTATTAAAAGTGATACAGAAAAAAATTTGATACTATGAGAGAAAAAATACCTCTCAGTAAACATGAAGCAGAAAGAAACTCCTAGTCTGTATAAAGTATCTGTAAAAACCTAAAGCATACTTAATGATGGGATGCTAAACGGTTTTCCGTAAGACTGGAAAATAGAATCACCGTTAATAATTAACATTGTACAAGAGGCCTTTTACAGTAGAAAAGGGAAGGAGGAAGAAAGAAAAACTGAAAAAGAGGCATAAAATTGTCTTTATTTAAAATGGCATAATAATTTACACAGAGATTCCTAAGAATACACAAACAGAGAAGTTAAAGTGAATTTAATAAGACCATAGTATATAAATCTAATATTAAACAATATATTTCTATAAATATTAATAAATATTTGGAAAACCAAATTATAAAAATATTATTTGTAATAGCATTTAAAATGTATATCTAGGAATTATTTTAATATAAGATGTTCAAGAAAAAAAATTACAAAATACTTTTGAAACAAACTAAGGAAACTTTAAAACAAATGGAAAGACTTGTTCATGGATCGAAAGACTTAAAAAATGTCAAATTCCACAATTAATGTATAGATTTAACACAATCTCAACTTAAATCACAGCAAGCTTTTTTTGTTGGTAGGAATTTAAAGTCTAATTCTAATTTATGAGAAAAAAGCAAATAATGTATAATACCTATCACATGCATAAAATACAGGTAAGCAATTAGAAAAAACATCTCACCTTAAGACTTACTGTCAATTTATAGTAATTAAGACCATGTGGTATTGGTTAAATGGATAAAAAATTAAAAATAAAGCAATTAAATAGAAAAGAGCACCATCTTTCAGCAAATATTATTGGAACAATTGTGTATCGATGTGGGAAAAATTTGTCTTTTACTTCTACCTCATACCACCTAAAAAATAAATTTGTGGGCCTCATAAATGATAATATAAAGCCAAAACTTCTATTTAGAGGAAAAAGTAATCAAAGGTTTGCATGACTTTTTAATAGGGCATATTCCTTATAAAGGATTTTGTCCTGTTTTAAGGACTATTTACAAAATTGATAAACTAGAGTTTATCTACATTAAATATTTTAGTTCATTAAAGTATATTTAAAAAATAAAGACAATTATACTCTGAAGTAAATTTCTTATATGAGTATATATGTGTGCATAAAAAAGTTTGTGTTTCTTTTAAAATTTTAAAATTATAAAAAACCCATAGAAACCAATTAAAATATGGGCAAAAGAATAGACAGTTGATAAGATATGTAAATGACTTCTAAACACAAGAAAAATGCTTTAAATTATTATTAATTAGTGACAAGCCAATTAAAATCATAAATTGGATGCCACTATGTACCCACAATGATGGCTAAAATTAAAGACACAACTGTGGCTGTCAGTCATATTTGATCAGTTTGTAATCTTGTTTACATTATACTTACATCTAGCTTTTTCTCCCTAGTTTAAAAAACAATACATATTGACTCGTAAGATAACCTAGCAATAACACTATAGTCACCCTCACTTCCCAAGAGATTATTCTTCCCTTCTACTCTTTCATTTTCACCTTAACTTTTTTCCTTATATGATCATTTTCTTTTTTGCAAGATTTCAATATCAAGACTTCCAGATTTTTTTAAATAGAATTTGTTGACTCTTCATTACTCGATGCTTTTTTCCACTCTATTGTTTTCTCTGACTTATTGTAGAGGAATGGAGTTTATTATCTTATAGTTTTTTTCCCCTCGGTTCAATAATTTCAGTAAAAATACTGTCGTCTCAACGGCAGCAACAATTTAATGACAACAAGTGCATGATCTTTACTTGGGTCTGGAAAATTGTAGATATTTTTTCTTTTGATAATCCTTAGTTTTCACTGTACTCAATCTGGAAATTATTTACTGATTCTATCACTTGTATAAATCATTTCCTCTTGTTGGAGTTTTATCAAGTGATAGGTAAGAATTAGAGACATTCAAGGCTGAGACTATTTTCTGTTTACAAAATCTTTCAGCTGTGGAGAGTTAAAAAGGTGTCATTAGAGTTCCTAAAAAGAAACATTGCTCAGTTGCTTAGGGTTCTTTCCACACTGTAGGCTTTAAGAAGAAATAGTAAACAGAATCTTGAGAAAATTTTATCTACCCCAAAACCAGAATATGATATTCACAGAGATGCAGAGCAGAAGTCTGAGAGAACTGGGAAGAGTGGCTTTATTTCTGGCTTTCCGTGTTATATTTCAGGCAACTGAATTTGTCAGAAGATAACTCTATCTTTAAGAAAAAATATAGAAAAAAATCCAGCAAAAACTTTCTTTTTCATAGAAAGCAATCAACCAAAACCAACCAACAAACAAAAAATTCAGGTGTTCTCAGTAAACTATGACCCATGGACCAAAGACAGCTACATTTTTGTAAATAAAGTTTTATTAGCATATAAACACACCATTTGTTTATGTATTATCTATTGCTGCTTTCAGCCTGGAGCAGAGTATCTGCATAGGAAACTATAAGGCCTGCAAAGCCTAAAATATTTACTATCTGGCCCTTAAAAATGCTTTCAAACCCTGATCAAGCCTCTCAAGCCCATGGCTTCATATATTAAAGGAGTATTTTTGAATGAAAATTTATCTGAAAAATTAGATTTTATACGTTTTGGGCTTCCTAAATTGTCTGAGAAAGTCAGCTTCCATTTTCAAAATTGATCAATGGCTTCATAGTTCTGATGGTAGAATTGTTTATTTCTCAGTATACAAACATTTATGGGCCAGCACTGAAGTTAGAAAACTGTAAGGACACAAGCTTTAAAATTGGGATATTAAAACATCAGTAGAATATCTGTAAAACATTCTGTCCTATTTTAGAAAACACATGACAAATCAGGGTACCTAGGGAGCCCTTAGATTGAACATTTACCATTCTTAGAGGGTTCATATATCTGGAAAAATTATTAGTCTTTTGCCTTGATTTGGGTAGGCTTCCCCCATTGTTAGGTTTACCTCAAATTGAATTAAAGCTTCCTGGTCTCTTTATTTATTTACCTATCTCAGCCTTGCCTTCTTCATACCACTCTACCCATTAGGCTTTGAAAGACCCATATTTCTGCATCAGCATCTGACGTCCTTCTGTTCCTTTCTAGTACAGGGTTGGATTTCCATATACCAGGCCCAATCTACTTAAATAAGTACTTAGTCCAACATATGTTTACTTCTAGTCTTCATTTCCCAGCCATTCAATTTGTTTATATCTCATATTCATATTAATTAGCAATGGAGTGCTCTCATTGTAAAATTATCTAATCTCACTTTATTGTGCAGCTTATAACAACTTGATGTCTAATATTATGCTTGGATTTGTTCAGTGGGAAACTGAAATAATCTCTAAAAATAGGATGACTGTGAACCTGCTTTTCCCAAGCCAGAATCTGTCAAAGATTATTGTTTATTACTTAATGTTAACAGCCCTTCACCATCTCATTGTTATTTTGTCCAGATTTTCTATAAAGTATTCATATATCATCAATATATTCAAGAAGCATACTGAAAATTATAAAGAACTCCAATTTATTGAACATGCTTGTTTTGACCTTAGCATTAGTAAAAATTGTATCTTAATTATGTATAACATTTGATTTTGGTTTGTGGTAGAAGTCATTTATCAAATAAAAAAGATATCCTGTTATTATTTATATTAAGAGTTTTATCCTGAAGATAAGTTATATTTATTTTATATATATATTAAAAATCATTGATGAAGTTTATTTAATGATACATTACTGAGAGTTGGATGTCTTGGCTCCTAAGAACTATGATTTCCTTTTTTGCAATAATGCTCTTGCTAGTTTTGGTAACATAATTATGCCAGGGCCATAAAGTAAATGAATTAGTCTTTCATCTTTTTTCTGTGATCTGAAACATGTTTTCTAAGATAAAATTTATACGATTTATGGCATATTTGCTCACACTCACCTACGAAACCACCTAGATCTCATTGATCTTTAATGAGAATGTGCCTTGATGTATTTTCTTCATCATTTTGATTTCTACATGGTTTCTTATTTTTAGATCAAACTTGACAATTTTTATATTTCTTTTAAAACTACTAATACCAAGTAGGCTTTTAAATTTATTAGAACTATGCAATTCACAGTATTTTCTAATATTTCTAAACCTTATCTTTATTCCTTTTCTATCTCCTTTCTTTCTTGATGATGGTTTTGGGCTTATGGTTGTCTATTGCTCTTTGTCACTTTTTTCTTTTTACTCATGATTTACTCAAAAGTTTTCCAAAATGTATTGTTTTCACTGTGTTTTTATTTCCTTAATCATTTTTATGCTGTTTTAATTGTCGATTTCCTTATTGTTGCTCTGTATCTTTATTTTCTGCTTTTTCATTACAGATTTATATATATATATTTTTAGCTTATGACAATGAAAAGTTTGCTAACTTTTTAATCCTATTTTCCAATAAAACATTTTAGGATAAAATTTTCTTCTGAGAACAGATTTAGGTGCTCCCACAAATTATTCTTATGGTGATTTATATTTTGTTTTTATTGTTAATTTTTAATGGTATGTACTTTACATTTTTATTTTATTTTATTTATTTTTATTTTACTCCATTCATACACATTTTCTGAACAATCACTATGTTGTCATTTTTCTAGGCAACAAATAATGAACAAAACAGAACAAAACTTCTTTCAAAGTTGACATTCTGCATGAGAAACATGGACTCACAACCCTCTACAAATACGCACACATACACATATGCATACAGAGTAATAAGTGCTATTAGAAAATAAAGAATTATGAAGATTGTTTCTGTATTACACAGGGTGATCATGAAAGTTTATATGATCAAGTACATTAAGCGCAAATTAGAAAAATGTATGTGAATGAAAGAAGTGCAAAGTCTCTGAAGTTTTGTTCTGATTTTCTCTTGCTTTTTTCTCGCAGTCCAGGCAGAGATAACTTATTCAGGCAGAAAGAGTAGCAAGTGTGAAGGACCTAAGATTTCTGAGGAATAGCATGGAGGACAATGTGTCTAAAGTAGCTAAGGAAGCAAGTGGTAGGTAAGGAAGAAGAAACCTTTTCAGTGATGTTATAATCATGTAAGAACATTAATTACTCAGAATATTAAATATAGGCATAAAAATAGTGTCTAGAATTATCTTTTCATGACACATTTTTAATGTTGTGGATTTCTGGTCAGTAAATATTATATATTAAGGGATTTTTTTGGTCATTTTGTTCAAAAAAAGTCTGTATTTCTCAATTGTATTAAAAGTAATTTCTCCCAATTCTATCAAATCTGGGCTCAAATTTGGCTTGGTGTTCACAGCATTATCATTTTTTTTTTTTCCCCTACAGAATTGGGAAGAAATTTGTGACAGGCAGCAGCACTCTATATATCACAGGTTTTCTGTTTTTATCCCCCTAACTCATTTCTTCCCTTCATCTCTCTTAGTCTTCTGTGGTGACTGAACTGCTGAGTTTTGACACTCCAGCTACCTTCTCCCAAGCTGGCAGAAATCTCATGTCTTGGTAAAATGGTCAGTCTCTACAGTTCCCACCTAACCCTGAATTCCTTATATCTCCTATACTATAAAGTTCACAGGAATATGCCTTGGTCTTGCCTTTGTATCTAAACTTAGCTGTTGCAAAGGGTTGTGGATTTCACCTCTTCAAGACTGATCTCTTCCTTAATATTAATAAACATTGTTTATTAATTCATTGATAGATAGAAGATAGATAGTTACACAGATAGATGGACACAGCTATGGCTGTGCTTATGATAACCCTTTTCCATTAGGCAAAAGTATATTTAACTATGTTCTTCATAAATTGCTTTTGGAATTTAATTTTCACTAATTTTGTTAAGATTAATCTCTCTCTTTCCCCTTTGTCCCAACATACATACTTCTATTTATTGTTTTTATTCTTATTGTCAGAGAGGAGAGTGAAATAGAAATACTTTTACTATATTTAATATAGCATTTTTGTTTTTTAAAAAAGTTCTTATTTTGTTATGTTTTATTTCTCTTTTTTAAAGAAAAGATATATTACTTTTTATTTATATATAATGTTTTTTCCTGAGTATAGTAATTTTCCTTTAATTCTACCTATAACCTACTTCAACTCTTTCTAGAAATATTCTTAAGCAGGTATTAAATCCTCAAGGTAAAAGGAAAACAATATTTTATTCAAATTTATGGTTTTTCAAAGGTATATCTATATTCCTATGTGCTTTTCTATTTTTAAACATATGATGTAGAATTTAAATTTCATCACAAACTTTTTACAATATTCGTTACTACTGAAAAAAACTTAAAGCTTATATTTGTAGCTATTTTTAAAATACTTAAGAGTTATGAACAAAACTAACATATTTCAAAGTTTTCTTCTCTTTACTGACATTTCTATAGTTTCCTCAGAGATGTCATGATTTTGATTTTTTTATTGTTTTTGTTACATGTTTTTTAGAACCTAAATCACAAATGGTACCTGTGTATCATATTTTCCATTTGTTTCCATAAAGAAAGATTTTATATGCCTAAATTCATAAATAATAATTTTGCTGGACACAATTTTTTTTTTTTTTTTTTTTTGAGACGGAGTCTCGTTCTTTTGCCCAGGCTGGAGTGCAGTGGCGCTATCTCGGCTCACTGCAAGCTCCGCCTCCCGGGTTCCCACCATTCTCCTGCCTCAGCCTCCTGAGTAGCTGGGACTACAGGCGCCCGCCACCAAGACCGGCTAATATTTTTTGTATTTTTAGTAGAGACGGGGTTTCACCGTGTTAGCTAGGATGGTCTCGATCTCCTGACTTCGTGATCCGCCTGCCTCGGGCTCCCAAAGTGCTGGGATTACAGGCGTGAGCACAATTCTTAAATGGTAAACACTTATTTGGAATTTGGTGGTCTTGCTCAGTAGTCTTCTAAAGTTTAATGTTAGAGAGGAAAATTTTAAAGCTGTAGCATATTTTGTTTGTTTATAGATTTATTTATGTTTTTCTCCCCTTGAATGGCTATTGGATTCCTTCCATCTGTGTTATTTGAATATTTCCTCTGCGTGTGTACGTGCAACTTACTTATGAATCTCTTCTTATTAATAGGGTTAGAATGTGAATTTTTAATTTTCAAGCAGAGATCTTTATTTGGATTAGAAAACTTTCATTGTTTTCTTTTCATTTGCTGTTTATTGGAAAAAAACTTTCAAATTACATAAATCAACATATGAATGTTTCATTAAAAATATAAGTATCCCAAATATATTATTTCTTCAGCTGTTATTCCTGCTCCATTTTGTCTTTCTTACATTTTTTTGAATTCCCATTATTTGTCAGTTAATATCCTAGAATAGGCCTCCTCTCATATTGTTTCTTCCCTTGAACCCTTTCGTCCAAATTAGAGGTAACTGATAGAACAGGCCAAAACGGTGTACAGAAGACATGGTATATAAACTAATATAAGCCATGTAAAAGTCTGATGCATGCATCCCAGCCAGAGACTTAGAGACATTCAGGTTCAAATAAAAAGACAAAAGAAAAAAATGACATTTTCAATAAATTTTAATTACTATTTAAGAGGTATGATGACCTGAGTGGGTCAGGAATAAGAGTGATATCTAAGGTCAACATATAAATTATTTGATGTATTCTCGATGCAAACACAGCTGTTTCATATGACTCTAACTTCCATCACCATTTTATCTAGAAAAATTGGTTTAATCCACGGTCAGTCGATGAGCTAATTCTCATCCTCATTTATAATGCTAACATAGAGTTTCCACCATATATATAACCTACTCATAGTCCCAATAGAAAATTATTTGTGTAAATTATATTTACATCACAAAAAGGAATACTTTCTGTCTCAAATGTTCTTTCCTTGCCTATAACAGTTGTGTAAAACCCGATGTTTCTGTATCCTCTTTCTTTCTTTAGTTTTTTTTTCTTACTTCCATAATCTACACATACAAACACACACAAAAAGTAGACTAAACACTAAGTACTTGAACTTCTACCCTATGTGTTTTCTATCCTTCTCTTCAGAGATCTGATTTATTGCAAAAGTACTGATTATCTAAACTGTCTATGCATTTCTTCTCGAACCAAGAGAAAAAATTTCTTAACATTACATACACACACTCCAGTTCTGTATTGGCAATGACATATAAAAATATTCATTTTTCATCCTCTATTACTTGATTTTTATTCTTCTTTTATTTCAGTTGCCATCCTAGAGTTTATGAAAATCATCATTAATTAATCACAATCTACCTTTAAGTAATATGTGTCACCCAATATTATACTCCCAATTCTTACCTTCTATATTTTGTGTTAATTATCTAGCATATTGTATTTTTATATGCTACAAACCCATAATTAATTCTATTGTGTTTTAGAAAGATGATTATCTTGAGAACAATTAAGCATAGAAATGATTTATACTTATGAATTAAACCATTTCAGTGTTCTTCATATATTTTATAGATTTAGTTTTTGTCCAGTATCTAGTATTCTACCTAATGAGCTTTTTTTTAGAGAATGTCTTTTGTAAATAACATCTCTCAATTTTTATTTATCAGAGAAATAGCCTGTTTATTTTTGAAATATACATTTTTTCTCTGAATTGAATTCTAGTTTGTCCTTTTTATCCAGCACTTAAATAATGATGTTATTCCATTTTATTCTTGCTTGCATGGCTTCTGACACAAAATCTACTATTAATTTTATCTGTATTCCTCTGTGTGATGAATTCTGTCCTTTTTTTCTCTGTTATTCTTAGAGAGTTCCTCTTTATCACTGGACTTCAGCAAATTCCATGTAGCATGTATCTGTAAGTTGTGATTGTTTCTTGGTTTATATTTAATGTTAATTATGTGCTCTCAGCTTCATAGACCTGTTGCCTAACACCTTCCTTATGGGGAAAATTCTTGACCAATATCTTTTCAGATACTTTTTCTTCCCTGCTCTGTTGCTTTCATCTCAATATTCTAACTACATGTACGTTACACTCCTTGGTGTTTTCCTGAAGTTCTTGTGTACTCTTTTCTTTGTGTTTTATTTTCACATTTTTCCCTCTTTGTGTTCAGTTTGCATACTATTTCTAAATCTTTAAGTTCACCTGAGATTGAGTGTCAAGTCTACTAACAATCCCATTGAAAGCATTCTACATTTCTGTACCATTGCATTTAAAAATTTTATAGCACATAATTTTTTTCCAGCATGTAATTTTTATCACTACTTATAGTTTCCATTACTTTTTGATATTTCCTATCTTTTTTTACACATTGGTTATCTTTTTCACTATAGACTTTGATGTATTAGTCATAGTATTTTAAATTCCCTGTATGAAAGCCCCAATATCTTGATCATATCTGAGTCTGCTTTAGTTGATTTCTCATCACTTGTGTCCCATATGTTATTAATATTTTTATTACTATTTTGAGACAGAGTCTTGCTCTGTTGCCCAGGCTGGAGTGCAGTGGTGCGATCTTGGCTAACACAACCTCCACCTCCCGGGTTTGAGTGATTCTCCTGCCTCAGCCTCCCGGGTAGCTGGGACTACAGGCACGTACCACCACGCCCAGCTAATTTTTGTATTTTTAGTAGAGACGGGGTTTCACAATGTTGGTCAGGCTGGTCTCGAACTCCTGACCTCATGATCCACCCACCTCAGCCTCCCAAAGTGCTGGGATCACAGGTGTGAGCCACCACGCCCAGCCTCCCATATGTTATTATTTCTTACTTTGTTTCATACTTTTTGGATGAAAGCTGTTTATCACATGAATAAGAGAGAGCTAAGTAGTGTTTATGCCTCAAAATGGGCATGCTTCTTCTTTTGCCAAGTCATTAGTATGGAGGCTTTTGTAAACATAATCAGGAACCAAGCTGGCTTAGTGTTTTATTTTTGCTTGTGCTGTAATAATTACTCTACTGACCTCAAATTCCTTGACTGCCCCATGCTTATAGTGAGGCTAGATTCCCAGAGGTTTTTGTTCAATGTTTCTATTTTTTCTTCCAGCTTTAGATAATCCTAGTGGCTCTGTGCCTCAGAGAGCTAGTATCTTTAAACTCTTATCCTTACCCCAATAAAACTTCTGTCATGTACTTGTTATAGCTACTTGTTAGCCTGGGCGTGTGGTTCAGTGATGGCATCCTCTGTTATCCTCTTTCAGCCTCAACATTAAGCTGAGCTTCTGTCCCTGAGTCTCACATTTGAGGCTTTCTCAGTGACTCTGACCCTCCTCCACACATACAAGACCTCTAATGGTCTGGTATTTGAATAGTTTCTGCCTTTCTCTTATGGTTAGCAGACTTTAACAATTTTTATTTTTTATTCCATCTGTACTGTTTCTTTTTATTATTATTTTTATTTTTTAGTTTAGTGGTTATTTACCACGAGAGAGAGAGTTCAGTACAATCAGAGCCTGAAGTTAAAGCTTGAAATAACCATCCAGAGTTTAGGTGAGTCATACAACATAGAAACGTATTAATACACTGACTTATTTGAGTAGCCCTGCATGTGTGTGTATATATACCTATGTATGTGGAAAGAGAGAGAGAGAGAAACAGAGAAAAGAGAGAAGACACAAGGAGAGAAAGAGGTGGAGAAAGTCAGAGAAAGTTATACTAGCAAGCAGTGATCTCACAAATTCACTGCATAAAAATCACATAGCTGAAAATGGTTAAAATAGAATATTAAAACTATGAAAATAATGACAAAGTTGTACAATTTATTGCATGAAAATACCTGAAGTCTTTCTTAGGGGTTTGGTCTGCATTCTAATTGTACAATGTGAAATGTGAGGAAACTGACCATCTTATTAAATGTTTATTATTTTCAAGATATCATAAAAATGATTTACATAAGTATTTTTGAAAAGCATTTCATATTTGCCTTAAGTCATCCAGTGTTATGGTATGTTTTGACTTTGGGCATATGAATTTGCACTGACTTGTATGACTACAGTGTTTATTCTTTGAAGTGAGTGAACAGGAAGTCAGCTATTCATTGTCACTTCAGTCATTGCAAGAAAGCCTTTACCTCTTCGTGTCCTGTTAGCTTTCACCCTTGTTTTTTTCTTTGTAAAGGACAGGAACTTTGCCCTTTAAGTCCATCCTAGGAGTTAATATTTTCTAACATTGTATTTGTCTTGTGACTCTCAGAACTATTTTTAAAATACCAATTTCTGAGTGGAAATGTTTTACTGATAAATGGTTACAGTCGTTTAGGCAGAAAAAAGACAAAGTAAGGTGAAGCATTTGACGTTCTTAATCAAGCTGAGATTAATGTGTCTCCCAAATTGAGTTCTGTTTCAGAGTACCTTAATCCTACTCTATTTTCAATAGTAATGTTTAAATTGTGCATATTTTATAGATCTGTTTGAAGTATCCTTATGCTTTAGCTATCGATTTATCTATTTCAATATTGTGCTTAATTTGTTCAGCTTCTAACATTTAGAACTTATAAATTTTAAGAATTATAATTTAAAAAGCTGAATGAAACCCTAAAAATAGATCCTCTGTGTTTAAAATAAGGTTTTAAAATTAGAATTTACTCCATATGTGCTTTGCTGAAAATTTGGAACTATATGAAAATTCTCTGCAAACGTAGCTTAACACACAGTGTAATAAGTAAAAAGTTACCTTGTGAAGCAGAGATATATTTATTTTTAATATTTCAAATTGAAGTAACATGTGTTAGTAAAACTATTTATGGTTGTTACCTTAGTTGGAAAGTTACTGTGATTCTTTTTGATTGATCAAAATTGTATTGATGCACAGCATTTAACAGATGACACAAGAATGCACTGCTATTTTTTAAGTGTTACAATTTATGTCATAGTTTGTAGAAATATGCTTGTTGGCCTTGTTTGCCATTTCTAATAAGCAAGAAATAAATTATGTTAACTTTCAGCTGACTATATAAATATATTTTGCTATCTTCATATTTCATACTTGCTTTAGTTTTTACATGACATCTTTCACACAAGCACTTCCTACTAAATAAATAACACAGAAGTAGGGTATATTAGTTAAGTTCCTGAAATGTAAGAATTAGTGGGACTCTCTGTTTATTATTGGTGTATAGCAATGCTTGTGATTTTTGCGCATTGATTTTGTATCCTGAGACTTTGCTGAGGTTTCCTATCAGCTTAAGAAGATTTGGGGCTGAGATGATGGGTATTTCTAAACATACAATCATGTCATTTGCAAAGAGAGACAATGTGACTTCCTCTCTTCCTATTTTTTTATTTCTTTCTCTTGCCTGATTGCCCTGGCCAGAAATTCCAATACTGTGTTGAACAGGAGTGGTGAGAGAAGGCATCCTTGTCTTGTGCTAGTTTTCAATGGGAATGCTTCCAGCTTTTGCCCATTCAGTATGATATTGGCTGTGGGTTTGTCATAAATAGCTCTTATTATTTTGAGATACGTTCCATCAATACCTAGTTTATTGACAGTTTTTAGCATGAAGGGGTGTTGAGTTTTATCGAAGGCCTTTTCTGCATCTATTGAGATAATTATGTGTTTTTGTCATTGGTTCTGTTTATGTGATGGATTATGTTTATTGATTTGTGTAAGTTGAATCAGCCTTGCATCCCAGGGATGAGGAGGACTTGATCTTGGTAGATAAGCTTTTTGACGTGCTGCTGGATTCGGTTTGCCACTATTTTATTGAGGATTTTTGCGTCGATGTTCATCAGGGATATTGGCCCAAAATTTTCTTTTTTTGCTGTTGTGTCTCTGTCAGGTTTTGGCATCGGGATAATGCTGGCCACATAAAATGAGTTATGGAGGAGTCCCTCTATTTCTATTGTTTGGAATAGTTTCAGAAGGAATGGTACCAGCTCTTTTTGAACCTCTGGGAGAATTTGCCTGTGAATCCATCTGGTCCTGGGCTTTTTTTTTTTTTTTTTTGATTGGTAGGATATTAATTATTGCCTCAATTTCATAATTGGTTATTGGTGTATTCAGAGATTCGACTTATTCCTGGTTTAGTCTTGGGAGGGTGTATGTGTCCAGGAATTTATCCATTTCTTCTAGATTTTCTAGTTTATTACTATTCATAATTGCTACAAACAGAATAAAATACCTAGGAATACAACTTACAAGGGACGGGAAGGACCTCTTCAAGGAGAACTAAAAATCAATGCTCAAGGAAATAAGAGAGGACACAAATAAACAGAAACAAATTCCATGCTCATGGATAGAAAGAATCAATATCGTGAAAATGGTCATACTGCCCAAAGTAATTTATAGATTTAATGCTATCCCCATCAAGCTACCATTGTCTGTCTTCACAGAATTAGAAAAAAACTACTTTAAATTTCATATGGAACCAAAAAAGAACCCATATAGCCAAGACAATCCTAAGCAAAAAGAACAAAGCTGGAGGCATGACGCTACCAGTCTTCAAACTATACTACAAGGCTACAGTAACCAAAAGAGCATGGTACTGGTACCAAAACAGATATATAGACCAGTGGAATAGAACAGAGGCCTCAGAAATAAGACCCCATATATACAACCATCTGATCTTTGACAAACCTGACAAAAATCAAGCAATGGGGAAAGATTCTCTATTTAATAAATAGTATTGGGAAAACTGGCTGGCCCTATGCAGAAAACTGAAACTGGATCCCTGCCTTACACCTTATACAAAAATTAACTCAATGTGAATTAAAGACTTAAATGTAAAACCCCAAACCGTAAATACTCTAGAAGAAAACCTCGGCAATACCATTCAGGACATAGGCATGGGCAAAGACATCATGACTAAAACACCAAAAGCAATGGCAACAAAAGCCAACATTGACAAATGTGATCTAATTAAACTAAAGAGCTTCTCACAGCAAAAGAAACTAGCATTAGAGTGAACAGGCAACCTACAGAATGGGAGAACATTTTTGGAATCTATCCATCTGACAAAGGGCTAATATCCAGAATCTACAACGAATTTAAACAAATTTACAAGGAAAAAACAACCCCATCAAAAAGTGGGTGAAGGATATGAACAGACACTTCTCAAACGAAGGCATTTATGCAGCCAAGAAACATGAAAAACCTTGTCATTACTCGTCATTTCGGAAATGCAAATCAAAACCACAATGAGATACCATCTCATACCAGTTAGAATGGCGATCATTAAAAAGTCAACAAACAACAGATGCTGGAGAGGATGGGGAGAAATAGGAATGTTTTTACACTGTTGTTGGAAGTGTAAATTAGTTCAACCATTGTGGAAGACAGTGTGGCGATTCCTCAAGGATCTAGAACCAGAAATACCATTTGACCCAGCCATCCCATTACTGGGTATATACCCAAAGAATTATAAATCATTCTACTATACAGACACATGCACACATATGTTTATCGAAGCATTACTCACAATAGCAAAGACTTGGAACCGACCCAAATGTCTATCAATGATAGACTGGGTAAAGAAAATGTGGCACATGTACACTGTGGAATATATGCAGCCATAAAAAAGGATGAGTTTATGTCTTTTGCAGGGACATGGATGAAGCTGGAAACCATCATTTTCAGCAAACTAACACAGGAACAGAAATCCAAACACTGCATGTTCTCACTCATAAGTGGGAGATGAACAATGAGAGCTCATGGAGACAGGGAGGGGAACATCACACAATGGGGCCTGTTTGGGGGTGGGATGCTAGGGGAGGGATAGCATTATGAGAAATACCTAATGTAGATGATGGGTTGATGGGTGCAGCAAACCAGCCCAGCAGGTGTATACCTATGTAACAAACCTGCACGCTCTGTGCATGTATCCCAGAATTTAAAGTATAATAATAATAATAATAATAACAATAATAAAGGAATCAAATGGTGAAGAATGGAATTGCAATGAAATCATGGAAGCTATGGGTATACATTTACAAACCATTAATAAATAAAATAATGATCCAATTAATTAAGATTTCAGAATAAATTGAAAATGAAAGGTAAGCCTATTTTTCAAAATCATAAGTTATAGGCATGTTGGACAAATTGAATGTAAAGAAATACAGAGATAAAGTAATTTCAAAAGGCTGAATGTTGGTGCTTTGAACATGAGAAGGAGCATCTTGCCTCTCCTTGACTTTATTCTGAAAGAGTTTAAAATATTTTGTTGTGTTCTAAAATGCAAGCTGCTTCATATTTATTAGATTCAAGTTGGAGAGATCAGGGCATAGGAATAAAACATCTAATGGAAGAAGCAAAATTCTGAGACAAAAAGTTGAAGGTGAAGATAACAGGAATGTACTACTCTATCAAGTATCTCTAGATGTTTTTATCAAACTTCCATTCTGCAGCTGATTTCTACATATACTTCAGGGAGATAATTTTAGAAATTTTTCAACTAAATTTTATGATAATTAGAAGTTAATTTATTCATTCATTCATTTCACAAACACTTAAAATATTTACTTGTTTTGAAACAAATGAAAGAGAATGATGAGTTCAATTTTTCCTTTCCCATTCTCATAAGTGTCTCCCACATTATACTCATGCAAGTTCCCTCAATATTTATGAATGCGAGTTTTAGCAAACATATCTTCAGGTTGAAGAATCCTTACTTAAAACAAAAATTTCATGTTCATTCCGCCCCTCCACCCCTGCCCCAGTGCAGAAGGTAGACTATGTCGCAGGTCAGAAAGACAACATGAAGAGAAGTTTTACAGAGCAGAATGGTTAATGGTGAGAGGGAGAGTGTGCATACCGCATATCAATTTGATCTGGGGAGAGGGTATGAAGAAGAAAGATTATCATCTGTGATTTATGGGAGCAATTTTGAAAATGTGAGATTAGAAATGTTTTTCTCTTTTTGTGTTTATGATTGTTGGTGGTCTCTTGGGTATCCAGAGACAACAATAGGTTAAAGAAATCTAGGTGGGGGGCCGAGTGTGGTGGCTCACGCCTGCAATCCCAGTACTTTGGGAGGCAAGGTGGGTGGATCATGAGTTCAGGAGATCGAGACCATCCTGGCTAACAGGGCGAGACCCTGTCTCTATTGAAAATACAAAAAATTAGCCGGGCGTGGTGGCGAACACCTGTAGTCCCGCGGAGCTTGCGGTGAGCCGAGATTGCGCCACTGCACTCCAGCCTGGGTGACAGAGCGAGACTCCGTCTCAAAAAGAGAAAATAAATCTAGATGAGGGATGGCAGACACATTCTCAACTTCTCCCAGTTCCCCAGCTCTATCAGGTGGACACAGGCTGAATCCAATACGTTAGCCCCAAGCAAGAAGACCCTGCGCTTATCTGAGAGGCTGTGCCACTGTCCTGAAAGTCCTTTTACTGTATTCTGGAAGAAAGAAAGGGAAACAGGCCCTCTTGAAGTCCTCCATGCCAGGAAGCCTTGGTAAATTTAAACACGGCCTCTGCTTGCATAACTTTTTTCGGAGACCGTGACAGCAGTTAAAATTAGTAGTCAGAACATTTCACAGAAAAACAACTCATTTCTATGGTCCAGCTCTCATGAAGTCACTTACAGCAATGAGCACAGCCAGGACCCAAGACCCACATGCACAAAATTCCTGAATTGATAGCATAGGAGGGAATATTTCCCTTAACCTGTCATTCTGTAAAGGATACAGAATGGTAAGAACCTTGCATCTGAATAAATATTTACCCTAAATAGGAAAAGGTTTTCACCATAAGTAATTAAAATAAATGACCAGCTTAAGCATTAGATTAAATGTTCAGTGCCAATCTAAAATCATTTTAAGTTTTCTTAAAGATACTTCTTTGCAAATATGTTTGTTTCTATAGATTTCATATCTGTTGCCTATTATTTTAGCGTAGTCACTAAGCTAAATGCTAAAATTTAAAAAAAATGAGTAAACATATTTTATTAGTCAGCTAGGTCTGCCATTACAACATACCATGAACTGGGTGGCTTCAAGAACATAAATTTATTTTTTCACAATTATGGAGACGGGAAGTTCAAGATTAAGGTGTTAGCTAGTTGATTTCTCTTAAAGCCTCTTTCCTTGGCTTGTAGATGGCTGTGTCCTCACGTGGTTTTTCTTCCATGTATACATGCTTGTAGTGTCTCTTCCACTTGTTACAACGACACAGTCCTACCAGATTAGGGCCCCACTTTCATGATCCTGTTTAAGTTTAATTACCTTTTCAATTGGCCTATTTCTGAATATGGTCACATTAGGGATAAAGCTTCAGCACATATATTTTATGGGGACAAAATTTAGGCCATAAGACGTTCTAAATCTCAAAGTTCAATAGGGAAAGTTAATGTGACAGGTAGAATAGTGGCCCCACTAGGATGTTCACATTCTAATCCCCACAATCTACTAGTATGTTACCTTACATAGCATAAAAAGACTTTTCCAATGTGCTCAAGTTACTGATCTTGAGATGGGGAGGGTATTCTTGACGATCTGGGTGGGCCCAATGTAACCATGAGAGTCGTTATAAGAGGGAGGCAGAAAGGTCAGTTGAAGAAGGAGATGGAACAGCAGAAACAAAGGTGAGATTTATGCATGGCCATGAGTCAAGGAATGTAGGTAGCCTCCAGAACCTGGAAAAGACAGGGGAATTAATTATTTCCTAGAGGCTCTCGAATGAATACAGTCCTTCTGGCCCATTCTGGACTTCTCACCTCCATAACTGTTAGACAGTACAGTTGTGTTGTCAAAAGCCATTGATTTCATGGTAATTTGTTACAGTAATAAGAGAAAACAAATACTCTTTACTTTGAAGCAATAATGGTAATATATTTTGATGAATGTTGTAATTTGAAGAATAAATCATAAATTGAAGGCAAAAACAAAGTTTTAGAAATTTTTTAAAAAGCTTCACAGGCAGGATAAAGTAGAATATTAAAACATGAGTACAATTTAGCTAAGGGGATATGGGAAATAAATGAATTTTAGGCAGAAGTATTTTTAAGTTGCCTCCATGTGTAGGAAAGAAAGTAATTTAAAGGAGAATTGATTAGCTGAGATAAAAGAGAAGAGTTTTGAGATCTGTTGGCAATTTTAGAAGCATATGTCTATAGAGAATTGAAGAGTGAAAAATCTCAAGGAATATTGGGTTATGAGCAGAATGTCTTTTAAATTTTTTTGTCTCTGGGCCTGATTGGAGTTGTACAAGAATTAAATCTTTTAGGCAGTTTCACACCTTATATATTAGGCATTGCCTCTCAGGAAAAGAACAGTTAGAAATCTATTTCTCATTTATGTGGACATGGAACTGTGTAGAACAAGTAGAAGTAACTGGTTAAGACATCACTACAGAGTCTTTAGTATATGTCAGACCACTTAAAAAATTACACATATTATGGAATCGCCTTGAGTACATTAAAAAAAAAAAAAACTGTAGAAGATTCTTTTAAAATGACATTTTGGAGACCTAATTTAAAAACTCATTTCAAGTGTTTTCATGACTGGGAGTGAAATACTGATAATGTTAAAAGAAGAGTAATAACATACATTTAGACTGGTTTTGTTACAACTTTATCAAATAAAAAGTAAATTGATGTATGTTTTAATAAAAAGTTATTTTCTTGATTCTAAGGCACATGCTTTTAATTTTTTAACATCTCTGAAACTGTGACATATCTTACAATAAATGGTATGGCCACTACATTTGGCAGTGTTTTGTTTTGTTTTGTTTTGAATTTCATAGTGGTCTAAAAATGTAATGGTTTATCACACAAACAATAATGACTTAGATTCAATGAATACAGTAGTCCATTACATCTTGCTTTGTTAATAAATAGATAAGTTAATACTATATAATTCTTAAAAATACAAGAAATACTGACTATGAAGAAAGTTCTTATACATGAATAAAACAATAAAAATATCAATGAGAAATTTCAGCATTAACAGAATAAATGCATACTGTCTTAAAATGATGACATTTCTGCATGTGTGTCAAATTTCAAAATAAAGATCCATATTAATGATTAAAACTAAAGCTTATAAATCATAGGACAAAAAAACAAGTATCAGACACAAGTGAAAATGAAACGTTTACACTCTTCTCTTTATTTTTTATCCTAGACAATAGGTAATTAAAGAAAGAACTAAAAAGTACATCTGGGATCACCTAGTTCAATCACTTTGTCTTAAAAATGAAAAGACTAAGATGCATATAAATAAGCCTGCAGAGTGTGCTTCATCGACTAAGAAACTAACACAGAAACTTGGTTTACTGGGCTCAGCTTCCTGTTTCTGTTCTACTCCATCACAGCTGTGCTTTTTCCAATCTGCCAGGTGACAGCCTGGATCTATCAGCAATTGTTGTGGTGTAGAGATTCAGATGAGCAGAGTGACTGAGATGAAAAGGTACTTAATGAGGAATAAACTAAGGTATTTTAAATTGAGTTCAAAAAGTTAAAGAAGCTAAAAAGTTTTAAGATTATGTTATGTGGAGTATAGCAGCATTTCTCTTCATTTTCAAATATTATGAAGCAGTAAGTGAGAAAAGTACCATAAAAATACTGAAAATAATAATAATTTGCTTCAAATAAGCAATTTGTTTTCATCTGCGAATGCAGTGCCACTTGATGAATACTTTTCCTTGAGCATATTTCAGTTTGTAACCAGACTTTGAGACATCATTATACTTTCTCAAGCAAGTATCCATTTTATTATCCATACTGTATGCTTTGCAATAAATTACATTAATACTGCGTTTTCCAGCATCTTAGACTTCATAAACACTTTTATATACATTATCCTGTTTAATTTTTACAAAAGCAATGTAAGATGACAGGAAAGATATTATGATACCCATATATTACAAATGAATGACTAATTTTCAACTGTTAATGATTAACGTAATTCTAGTTTTGACATATATGACTTAGCACAGTGACAAGTTTTATGAAAGTGGGTGTTTAACTTAAGAAACTTCCATTTTCAACTTTATAGTTATATATATCCATAAACAATGTATGGAAATGCCAGTGGTTTTACATTCTTGTCAACAATTATCAGTCATTTTTATTTTACCATTCTTGTAGTGATATTTGTGATTTTAATTTTCATTTTCTAATAGAAAGGCTGTTGAACACCATTTTATGTGCTCACTTGCCATCCATATATCTTCTTGCATGAATTATCTATTGAACTATTTTATCCACTATAATTGTTTTTCTTAGTTAAAAATTATACTAGTACTTTGTATTGAGTTATAAGAACCCTAGATAGATAGATTCAGTAAATAAGTCATTTATAAGGTATATAAATTGCAAATATTTTCTCTCACTCTGTGGATTATCTTTTTATAAAATTTCCTTGACAGTGCATTTTGAAGAGCAAAAGCTTTTAATTTAGAAAAAAAGTTAATTTATTCATTTTTTTGTTTTTATTCTTGCTGTTTTTATCAACTTTTTATTTTTATTCTTGGTGTTTTAGGGGTTCTGTCTAAGAAATCTATGCCTACTCTCTGTAGCAAAAGATTTTCTCCTACATTTTCATCTAGTAGTTTTACAATTTTAGCCTTTATATTTAAGTCTATGATGCATTTCATGTTAATTTTTGTACACGGAGGAAGATACAATTTGAGTTTCAATTTTTCCATATGGATATACAGATTTTCCAGCTCCATTTATTGAAATGATTTTTCTTTACTCCATTGAATACCTTGGAAACATTGTCAAAAAATCAGCAACTATGTATGTGTAAAGCTATTTGTGAACTCTCGTTGCATTGATCTATGTATTTTATACTTTAACCTACAGCACGTTTTCTTGATTACTGCACCGGTATAATCACTTCAAAATCAGGTAGTGTAAGTTCTCTGGCTTTGTCTTTCAAAAATAAATGACGTAAACTCTTCTAGTTTATTTAAATTTCTGTATAAATTTTAAAATCACTTTGTCAATTTGTATAAAAATGCCAATTAGAATTTTAACAGAAATTATAATACATTTATATATAAATTTGGGAAAATTGTCATCTCAACTTATTTAGGTCTTTGCTTAGTGGGGTGTTTGGGCTTCTAGTGTACCCATCACACAAACATGAACATTGTCTCAGGGGATCCTTGGGAGTCACTTTTTCAGCAAGAAACCTCTATGGCCAGGGGCACCTTTCCCTGAGTTGTCCCTGGGCCCACTGGGCTTGTTCCAGTGACTTGGCCTGGTGGCTGCACTCCGCTCACACTTGCACTCCTAGCCCAGATCCTATGCCTGCCAAAGGCAAGCCAGTCACAGAGTGGCAAGGGGTACATGAGCAAGCAAGCGCAGGTCCTGGTCACTGTGTAGAGCCAACCACTCCAGCTGCTGCAGTGGGGCAGGCAGCTCCAGGCACTGGCTCCACAGAAGCCTGCAGCTGGATCTGATGCACCACAAGTGATTTCTGCTGTGGGGACCCACATCTGGACAAGAGAAATGCGGTGGTGCCTGGAAGCTTGGAGACACCAGAAACTGCAGAGTCCTAAAGAGGGTGTCACACCACTGGCCCAGCCCCTAGGCCTATGCTCCCCAAAGGGCCACAGCTCTTATTTCCTTCTCATGGCTCGTAATGTGGTGAGCAACGGTAGAAGCATGTTTAAGCCCTGTTTTTGTTACAGCTCTTTCATTCTCATCATTTGTCAGGTCCTAAGCCTTTATCCTACATCTAGGAAGAATGAGGTACGCGGACAACTGGAGCATAAGCAAGGCAAAGAGGTGCTTTACTGAGTGACAGTACAGCTCTCAGGAGACCCAAAGTGGGTAGCTCCTATTTGCAGGCAGGTCATCCCATCTTCTGCAGCCATCAGCTGAAAGGAGACCAGGAGTGGGTAGCTCCTATCCGCAGGCAGGGTATCCTCTTGTCTGCCCGAGACTGGTTGAGGCCAAGATTTATATGAGCTTCAGAGGCAATGAAGTACATGCTGTTTGGTTCATGGGTGGCCATGAGTGGACCTTAAAAAAGCACCATAAGTTCTCCGTCCGGTCTGCAGAAGTTGCAGCCAGACCCCCAGGCTTCAGGCTGTCCCTGGCTTGAAGGTGGGGTTTCCCCAGGACCGGCGCCTTTCTGCCCAGGAGACTGTCTCCTGCAGCCATCAACGTGCCATCCACTGTGCCCACAGCACCCAGGCTGTTCGTGCCAAGGGGCACCTGCAGGCCCACACTGAGCTGTCCTAAGCCCCCCACTAAGCCTCCCTCTCACGCTCATTGGTGCCCAAAATCTGGAGGAGGCTGTGGTGACAAGGGGCTGGTATGTCAGCACTTCCTGAATAATGTGCACACATTGCGGGCTTGCAACAGTGCCCAGGCTCGGCCTCAACTTTTCTCTGAAATCTGAGTGGGCGCTGGGAGCTGGGAGAGGCCAGGAAGCAAGAGCAGGCATCTTCCGTCCTGTGGGGGAGGCGGCTTCTCAGGCCCCAGAGATCACAGGCATGCCCAGGTCCACAGCCATGGCTGAGTGGCCGCAGCTGCCCCAAGAATGGCAGGGATCCCACCTCTTCAACTCAGAATAGGGTGTGGCTTCCACCCATTTCTGACTCCTGCCTTCTTCTCCCTGGAGTGCACAGCCCTAGCACCACCTCCTCCACTGCAGCCAGTGTCTTCACAGCAGCCACTCCAGATGGGCTGCAGCTACCATCAATTGTATCCAGTAGATAATTTTTTTCAAACCTCACTCCTGTCCCAGCCTTTGCCCTTTTGGAGTTGCTAGTGCCTATTATTTCCCTATTTATATCCATGTATACCCATTGTTTAGCTCCCACTTAGAAAATGTGGTGTTTGATTGTCTGTTTCTTAGTTATTTCACTTAAAATAATGGCCTCCAGCTCCATCCATATTGATGCCACATGAATGGATAGTATTCTATGACTGTGTAGTATTCCATGTTGTATATGTATGTTTTCTTTATCCAAGTATCCATTGATGATGGATACTTAGGTTGATTATATGACTTTGCTATTGTGAATAGTGCTGCAATAATAATATACATGGGGAGATTTTTTTTTTTTTTATGTAACAATTTCTTTTCCTTTGGGTACATACCCAGTAGTGGGGTTGCTGGGTCGAATGGTAGTTCTATTTTTAGTTCTTTGAGAAATCTCCATACTGCTGTTTTCCAAATATGTTATACTAATTTATATTCTCACTAACAGTGTATAAGCATTCCCTTTTCTCTACGTCCTCACCACCGACTGTTTTTTTACTTTTTTATTTTTTATTTATTTATTTATTTATTTATTTATTTATTTATTTATTTATTGAGATGGAGTCTTGCTCTCTCACTCAGGCTGGAGTGCAGTGGTGCGATATTGGCTCACTGCAACCTCCGCCTTCTGGGTTCAAGTGATTCTCTAGCCTCAGCCTCCTGGGTAGCTGGGACTACAGGTGCCCACCAACACATCCAGCTAATTTTTGTATTTTTAGTAGAGACGGGGTTTCACCATATTGGCCAGGCTGGTCTCGAACTCCTGACCTTGTGATCCACCTACCTTAGCCTCCCAAAGCGCTGGGATTGCAGGCGTGAGCTACTGTGTCTGCCCTGTTTTTGACTTTTTAATAATAGTCATCTTGACTAATATGAGACAATATATCCTTGTGGTTCTAAATTACATTTTCCTTATACTTACAATTCATGATGTTGAGTATTTTTTCATGTTTATTGGCCATTTATTTGTCTTGTTTTGAGAAATACCTGTTCGTGTCCTTTGCCCACTTTTTAATGCTTGTTGGTTTGTTTTTGTTTTTGTCTTTTACTGTTGAATTGTTTGAGTTCCTTGTATATTCTGTTCATTAGTCCCTAGTTTGCAAATACTTTCTCCCACCCTGTAGGCTGTTTACTCTATTGATTATTTCTTTTGCTGTGCAGAGGCTTTTTAGTTTAATTAAGTCCCATTTTTCTATTTTTGTTTTTGTTGCATTTGCTTTTGAAGTTTTAGCCATAAATTCTTTGTCTAGGCCAATGTCCTGAAGAGCTCTTCCTTCACTTCCATTTTGTACTTTTATAGTTTCAGGTCTTATATTTATGTCTTTAATCCATCTAGAGTTAATTTTTTGTATAGGGTGAGAGATAGACATCTAGTTTCAGTCTTCTGCATATACATATCAAAGTTTTCCGGCAACATTTATTGAATTTAACTGCAGCACAGCCACTCTTCTCCTGCCTGAACATTTTGGCTGCAGCCCTACCCCAATGGAAGGCAGCCCCTCACCAACCCCCCTCCCCACTGCCTTAGTAGGAGTAGCAAAGGCTGGCAGTTGTAAGGTACACAGTCTTCTGGCTCCTCTGTTCCACAGCAGCAGTAGCAGTATCCATCTTTGAGGTGCACAAACATGCCTGGCCTTCCTGCTCTCTCCCCTGGCACTGTAACAGTAGCAGCTGTTCAAGAATCAAAAGCCTGTAGAATTCCACATGGGCTTGAGTAATGCCTCTGCCCCATCTCTAGGCAGCTCCCTGTGTTTGACTGCAGGTCAGAAGTCGGGGGTGTGTCGAGGGAGCTCTTCAATTGCTAGGATTTAAAAGTCTGTGGAGCTCAGGGAGATCAATCACTCACTCACACACTGCATCTCCTCCTGGCTTCCCAAGATCCCAGCTCACTAGACATCCTTGCTTTATTCTTCATTGCTTTTCATGATTCTCATTACTTCTCTGATGCACTCCATTGTGCTATCTTAAGTGATCTATTCAAAGTATAAATATTTACTCACTATTTTGATTCATCTCCTTAGAAGTGTCGACTAGCTGCTTCTAGTTAGTCATCTTGAACCGGAACTTCTGTTTTAGCGCACTTAAAATTTTTATGCCATAGATATTAGTTAAATTTTGTTTGTACCATATACGTACAGATGCCTTTATCAGACCAAAGATGTTTCCTTTTACTGAGAATCAGAAGCGCCCTTTCTCTGGTACTTTTTTTTCAGATGTGTCCTAGGTATCCAGTGGCTCCGATTTCTTCAGTCTACTTCCCTAAGCTCCTCTGTGCAGAAAAGAGACAGGGTGTACTATCAAACTTTTAGCCACCTTTTGCCCTCCTGCTCTAAAACTCAAAACAAAACAGTAAAAGGTTTTTTTGTTTTTTGTTTTTGTTTTTGTGTTTTTTCGCTATGGTCTTGAATTTTGTCAGAATATCCCCCACCTTGGTATGGAATCATTTTCATTTAAAAGCACCTGAAAAATACCAAATACATGAAGGATACTCTGATCTTCCCACTTCTTTCTGAACACAGTAGATAACTTCCCTGTAAAAGATATCCTCTCTGTACCAGCAGAAAAGAAATATTTTTCAATGGGGAGTCATAGCTGAGATAATTCTGTTCAAACAGAATTTGCTAAAATAATTTTTGCTTTCCTTATGCCTTCCCTCAGGATTTATTTACTTTTCTGTAATTGCCTTCCTTTGTTCAACCTCATAAAAGAGCATTTAGGTTTAGTCACTTTTTAAGGTCTTCATTTTCTTTTTTTTTTTTTGTATGAGGGCTCTCCTGTCACATAATACTTACATTAAATTAGTGTGTTTTCTCCTGTTAATCTATCTTATGTCAATTTACTCAGGCCCAGCAGGACCCTAAGAGAGTAGAGGTAAAGTTTTGCCTCACCTTACAATCTCTTGCCTG
Source organism: Homo sapiens (assembly GCF_000001405.40). Lineage (NCBI taxonomy): Eukaryota > Metazoa > Chordata > Mammalia > Primates > Hominidae > Homo > Homo sapiens. Next base: position 103,962,612 of record NC_000003.12, on the reverse strand, counting down.
ATGTTCTGACTCTTTTGAAAACTCTGCTTGTTTTTGTTTGATCTCCATAACAATCATAATTATATTTTGTACTTTGTCCAGAATTTTAGATGTTATTTTCAGGAGAATCATTTTGTTAGGAACTTTATTCCATTGTACTTTAAGTAGAACTCCAATTTAGAAGAATTTTGAAACAAAGTCAAATCTCACATTTGGTATGACATACTTCAGTGGAAAAATAGCAATAGAAAGACCTCTTGGAATTTACATAGCTGTTAGTAAGAGGTTATGTTTCCATACATGAGAAGGTTAGACATTCAGGGCAATTTTAACCAAATGTCAAAAGACAGAGATTCCCAGCTGACATTTATACTTTGTTTATTTTATTATCCACAGGGTATTTCAATCTCTGTCTTCTGCAAGGAATATTGTCACCATTTTGTAGATAAACAAATAAGGCTTTGAAAACTAGTTAACAAACACAAGTTTCCCTAAATAAAAAATGGCAAGATCCTTAGTGTAGTCTTATGACAGTAACTTTTATGGAGTATAAAAGTTGATCTGTAAGTGCAGTTTTAGCTCAGATGTGAACAGCTGGAAAGAACATTTTTAAATTCTAATTTGAGGACAAAATCTTAACAAACTACAAATTAGCAGTTTTTCATGAACTAGTCAGAGAACTGTGATTACACAACTTGAAGAGAAATAGGTATCTGGAAAAATAAACAGAATCTAAGCATCTGCTTACCTGAGGTAGACGTTATAGCATGTCATATAACCTGATAGGAAGATTAAACTAAAAATATTTAATTGATTGCTTAAAGCCCAGCATGATCTAGATTGAAAATCTGAGGCCCATGGGTTCCACAGACATAGGATCAGCCCCATCTCTTGTAGCCTTTCTTCCATGAACACCATCAATATCTCAAAGAGAGAACTGAGTGGAATTCACACAACCCCCTCCCCCACCCCGCCCACCTCCGCCACCATGGTACTTGTTGGAGAAGGGAAAGAACAGTCGCTGCTGAAATCTGCTCAGACCCATCTAAGCAATATTTGTTATAGGAAAAAACAACAGAGGAATTAAAAACCTGTATTCTTGGGCACTGAAAAAATTTCTACAGCTGTTGGGAGACAAATGTAAGGCCCCACTACAGTATCTACCCAGAGTCATCTTCCCTACCTCACTTAGGTAATAACATGCCTTAAAATAAAACTGTAAAGAGTACCTGTTTCATAGCTTGAACACATTGATACCTATTGTAGTATGTTAGTGGAATAAAGGGAAATAAAGCTCTATGTGAAGAAAGGTTAGGGATACTTGTGATGGCCATACCCAAGGGACTCTGTTTCATAGTCCTGCCTGAGACTGAGGTTTAATCAGAACATCAGAGAAGACAAGCCCATTTCAAACACTTCTGGTAACAAGACTTTATTAAAAATAATAGAGGGATATAGCCAAGGCCTAAGAAAGAAATAGAATTTCTTTGGAGAGCAGAGCAATGAGTAGACCTAAATCTAAGTGAGAAAACAAAAACATTATTTTACTGAAGGATTTTGAAGTATTTTGTGCCCACAAAAACAAAAGACCTTTAATTTGGCAATCATATCAACATAAACTTTGAACCCAGCCAAATTCATTGCTAAATTAGTGAACTCCCACAATGAAGGCTTACCAGAAAGAAAAGTTTATAACTTATACATGTAAAAAAGAATATTTACCATATTCCCTACCATCCTGTACATGTCTGGATTTGGCAAAAAGATTCTAAGAGGTACCACAAAAGAAGAAAAAAAAAGAGATTCTAATGAGAGAAAGAAATTATCAGAACCAGAATTAGATATTCCACAGATGTGGATATTCAGATTGAGCCTTTACAATAGCTATGATTAATATGTCAAATGATATAATCAGAAAAATAGACAATATGCAAGATCAAATAAATACATTCAGCAGAGAGATGAAAACTATAGGAACAAAATGGAAATCCTAGAAATCAATCGCAGTAACATAAATAAAGAATTTTTTTGGCAGACTCATCAGTAGACTCAATACAACAAAGGAAAAATTTAATAAATTAGAAGATAAATCAATCAAAATCACTCCAATTAAAATGCGAAAATTAATGTAATTGCTTTTTTAAAAAGTGGAGAATTTAATCCATGATATTAAGTGGTGTATCGTACACAGAATTGTAATTTCAGAGTGAAAAGAAAGAATAAAGCAACAGAAATATTTGAAAAAACAAACATAATTTATATTTGAAAATAATTTATATTAGAAAAAATAAAAATAATATTGTATATAAAATACACATATATAATTGGCATCACGCCTCCTTATACATGTGTATTTTTGTTTTTACATATGTAACTAAAAATGTAGTTTATTCTAAACATGTATAATCATTCTTTTTCAAATAACATTTTTAATTTACTTTGTGTGCCAAGTAACAGAATTTTTTTCGTGATAAATTGGTTTAAACAAACTATACTAGTTCTGAATGCAATTAAAAAATAAGAACCTCTAATTTTTGTCGTGAGAGAACTTTGGGAGCACTTATCAAACAGATTAAATTTCAATAGTTCTAACGACTACAGAAATTAAATAGAGTCAGGCTCTAGCTTTAGGGCCCATTTTCAAATGAGAGTTTTGGTGAGAAGGGATGTCTTTCTCGTAAAAGACTTGAAGGACAAGACACATATCAGAAAAATGAAACATATGTCTATGGGCATAAAAACTTTATAAAAAGACAAACAAATAAGCAAAACTTCAACCCAACAAACATGCTAGAAGACATTTAGGTTGCTTTGATTTTGGCTATCCTGAGAAAAGGCATCATCATCCAAATCATAGCAGTAATCATGTGAAAAGTTAGATTAGAACTCTGGATTGTAGGCAACAAAGTTTTATTGAGGATACAGTAATCTGGAAGGAGAGCATCTGTTTTCCATATGCACAGGTACAAGCCTCAGTGGACTCCAGGTAAAACCTCAGGTACACAAGGAAAAAATTGTAATTTAATTCAGATGATTTTACCTTAGCAGAGTAAAAGATGTGAATCCATCTGGCCAACTTTCCCTCTACCTTTTAAATATACACTTTACAGAAATTACTTGATGGCTTTTCAGTAGCATACATTTTAGACCCACAAAATTGTCACTTATTGTTATTTTCACCCATGAGCATTCTATTCACACCTTTAAAAGCATATTTTGAATTTTATATTACTGCAATTTTATTTACAAAATTATTGGTGTTATAAAATCTAACATAACACTAGCAGTCAATTTTTACTGAATTGCCATTTACCCATTACTGATCCCCATTTCTCTGTGCAACTGTAAGAATTCTAAGAAAATACATGAATGGAAAAATAGATGTAGATATTATAACTATTTGAAGTTACAAAATTATCTTTTTCCTTACATCTCACAATACACTATACATGTTTTCTGATTAAGTCTCACTGTTGTCCTTTTCATCATAAAGGGAATAGGGTGATATTTACATGATAAGAAAGTCCATGTGTCTACTGTTAAGTATTCTAAGACATTCATTGAGGTTCGTCTCACCATAAGACAAGGCTGTGCTGTGGTTAAGAAATAAAAAGGAAAATGGAAAAAAAAAATCTTTAACAGAATCTGCAGACACAGAAGGAGTTGCAGGCATATATAAATTCATGGAGTTTGAAGAAAACAGAAAGCATTGTTTTTTAATACTTGAGAGAGATTCCTTTGAGAATCTGATGACAATTACAAATCTTTCTTATTTGTAGCAATTCACAGTTACAAGGACTCTGAAGAGGTAGCATTTATTATTCCTTTATGTTTTCATGAACATTATGATTTAACATGTGTTTTGAATAAGTCAGGCATATTATAGGGAATTCAAATAGACATAAGCTTACACCCTGAATACTAAAGACCCCATTCTACTCTGTCCTCTTAACACTCAATCCTCCCTCTGAAACATACTTGCTGTTACTGACTTTTTGTGATTCCATCCATAAATATTCTATTTAAATACAAATGTATGTAAAACCATTACTTATTTTTCACATCAATATTTGTTTGTATGCACATAAATCTGGCCCTATTTATTCACTTAAAAATATATCTTATAAATGATTTCATATTAGTGCATGCAGAACTACCTCATCATTCAAATGCCTGCCAATTATGCTACGGAATATTGATCACAATATACTTAATAGTCCCCCAATTGATCAGCATATAAATTGTTTCTCAGCACTTGGTGTTGCAAATGATTATACACTAAATATTCAGGTACATATTGGTAGTATACTTCTAGGATAAACATCCTAGAGAGTAATGTACATTTTAAACTTGATAGATATTTCCAAATTGTCCTATAAAATACACCATAAAATTTAATCCCATAAGTAATATATGAGACTGTCTATTCTCCCCCCAGTTTTTTTATTATTATCTTTTAATTATTTGACAATCTGATAGGGGAAAAAACCTGTTGCTTGGTGTGGTTAGATGTTTCATGATTCTTATACAAGTAAGCTGAATGTCTTCTCAAATGTTTATGATCATACTTTTTTTCTCTCTCTCTTTCTTTCTTCTTTTTTCTTTTTTTTTTTTTTTTTTTTTTTGGAGACAGAGTCTCGTTCTGTCCCCCAGGCTTGAGTGTGCAGTGGCGCGATCTAGGCTCACTGCAAGCTCCGCCTCTCGGGTTCACGCCATTCTCCTGCCTCAGCCTCTGGAGTACCTGCGACCACCATGCCCGGCCAATTTTTTGCATTTTTAGTAGAGACAGGGTTTCACCGTGTTAGCCAGGATTGTCTCTATTTCCTGACCGTCGTGATCCGCCCGCCTCGGCCTTCCAAAGTGCTGGGATTACAGGCGTGAGCCACCGCACCTGGCCCATACTTTATTTTTCATATTGAGGGATTAGTCTTTTCCTTATTGATTTATAGACACGTTTAGACCACTATTCATTTGAGACCATGGCATTCCATTTTGGTGCTGCTGAATTTGTATTGACTTGGAAATTTTTCATAGATTTCTATCAGTAGCACTAGGAGCCATACAAAAACTCAATTACGTTCGTGTCTGGTGCTTTGTAATATTAACCTTCCTGATCTACTTGAATTGTTAAGTGAACAGTGGAGCATTCTTGCCTACTTGTGTTTTAGGCTTCATTGATCATAAAATTGTTTCGATCATATTTCTTAAGATAATAGAAATTAATAATGGTATGCAGTAAAATTACTATTCCTGAAACAAACTTGTTTCCCGTATAAAATATTGGCTTGTACGTCCCAAATCTGCAATTGGTTAGAAAGAAAATTGTCATAAAGTGAGCTTTGTATGCATAAGATTTTGAAACTGATACAAATTCTGTAATATCAACTCTGTTTCATCGATCTTGGTGTTGGGGCTTAGAAAATGATATACCCAAGTGTAGGCCTTAGAAGCAAAGTCTCTCTCTGACCTTTTCCTGCCCTTCTGTCTCACGGTCTTCATTCTCCTGAGCCTAGCCGTAGAAACTAGAATACCTCTTCCACAAGGCAGGCTATGGGAATCAGAATTCCTCTTCCCCAAGACAGTCATACAGCCTAAAAACATTACTCTTACCTTCTCCTGCCTTTCTGTGTAAGAGCTGACCATAAAGAAATTCTCTTACCTACTTTGCTTGACACTAGGTCATAAGACCCCTATCCCAGAAGAGGTCCTGCCCCATAACCTGGAAGAAAGAAATACTGCACAGACAGGCCAAGATGAAGCCAAATAGACAAGCCTTGCTGTTTTCCTATTCAGTCTATTCCCATTAGGTCATAACCGTTTGTGTCTAATTATAGTTCTACATGGCTGTTCATTCTCCATTGAAACTAAGAATAAAAATGCATCCTTTTTTCCCTGTATCTTTAGGTCTTAATTTCTGAAGTCTCCCATGTCATGTAATACTATGACTATGTTAATTTGTTGTGTTTTTCTTTTGGCTACCTGTCTTTTATTATAGGAGTATTGGCTGTGACCTTTATGATGAGACGGAAAGGGATCACCTTTGTACCTCTGCACTGGGAAATCGTGTCACATTTTCAGATACTTCATCTATAACTTGGCTAAGCATTGTTTATGTTCCCTAACAACCTCTAATAGGCCGTGAGCCAAAAGAGCAAGGTCTATATGTGCCCAGAAACATAACAGACAGACTAGTTGTAATTTTTCAATATTTCTCTTGAGATGATGAAAAAAACCTGTCTCTTTGTAGGCAATCAAAACAGAGTTTATGCAGACTTTTGGATACCAAGAGAAGACCCGTGTAATTTCAGAGTTCACATCTACTATTTCTGGAGAATGTGGGACTACGTATTGGCAGGGAACAATAGAAAATATAGGCTAAACAATACAGAGGGCTGACTCTCCATACCACCCTACTCACACAAGCAAAACAATTTGTTCATTTTTCCCCTCTAATGTTGCCAATATCAACCCTTTCCATTATTAATCCCATTACTTTAGTTCAGACATTACTATGTCTTACCTAATTTATGGAAATGGTTCCTAAGTTCTCCATCCTACAATTTTTATCTTCCAATATAGACTTCACACTGCGATTGGAGTTTCTTTTCAAAACCTAAAGTCTTCATTCAAAACTTTAATTATGCCTCCCACCACCCACACATACCCAGCTTCCCCTCCACCCATGCACACTACCAAATGTGAACTCATTAGCATGGCATTCAAACCTCTTGGGTATTTTGGCCATATCTTCACTTTTCTGCTTAGAATTTGACTGTATCTTCTAACGAATCCTGCATTTACAAGTTCACTATCATTCATCATTTTTTGACATAGCCTGAACTTCTCTATTTCTGGACTTTTGCTTATACTGTTCTATGAATCTGGAACTTCCTTCTCACTTAGTAAAATTGTATTTATAAAATAGCATTTTTTTGATGGTTTGTTGCATGCCATTGATTATTTTAAGCATTTTATCCTCACTACCACCAAAAAATAAAATAAAATAAACATATGTACTGTGACTATTTCCATTTTACAAATGTTGAAACTAAAGCTTGAAGAGGTTAAACAATTTGGACTTGAACATAAATCTGGATTTCAAACCAGCATTCTGCCTCTAGAGTTGAGAAAGACTGTGTATTGATTATCTTATTATACTGCGAAGCATATTATACATTATTTGTACAGAAAATGTGCTAAATAATGTTTAATTGTATGTTTTATTTAAATTTATAGTTTGGGCTTGAATGATACAGAAAATTAACTTAATTACCCACTTGAGAGTGTCAGTGTTATCTTGACCCATTTTTGTTGAGAATGGTTTGTTCCTTTTTTCTTAAATATTTCCATTTTGACATTTACAGTCACAGCAGATTTTAATTCCAGAATTCCAGACAAAGGTACCACAACAGAGCAGTTTTGAGAATAGTACAGGATGACCCCAAATGGTGGCAATTATGTAGAAGTAGCTATAGTTAGCAAAGTGGCAGGCACACACTTTTTTTTTTTTTTTTTTTGTGGAGGACTTAGAAAGTAAGAGTGAAATGACACAAGAAAACGGACATAAGAATGCAAAATACATGCAGATTTTTGTTTCTATGAGTTAGTTACAAGAAGTGTGGTTAGAAGAGACTGAGAAACTGGTGGTTTTTCCAGGTAATAGTTCTTATTTGATAAAGCTAAATTCTTTATCAAATTTGAGACCACTTACATTTAATTTCAAAGTATAAATATCAAAAGAAACTGTTCATAGCCTTTGTAGCCCTCATGTCAATTGAGGCCAGGCATAAGTTTATAGACTAAAATTTATAGAAATGGCAAAGTAGAAGATAAAAATTAAGGTCAGTGGACTTGTTTTACATTTCCTTAAAACTTGTGCATTTAAATTTCAGTATTAAAAATGTATGAAACTTATACACCCAGGCAGATTGTATAATACGATAGAGGCTCATTTGGTAGAAAATACATTTCTGCATGGCACTTTTCCATGCTAAATTTTCTGAAATAACTCTTTTGAATGTGATTATTCTTTAAAAGAATTTTATTACCACCTGTCATATAATAATTTACTTTATACCAGGTTTCCTCAACCTCAGCAGTATTAGCATTTTGGATGAGATAATTCCTAGTTGTTATGGACTGTGTTGTGAATTGTTCGATACTTAGAAGAACTTTGGTCTCTAACAACTGGATGCCATTAGCACCTATTCAGGTCTGGTAACAACAACAGCAAAAAAGCCTTTGAAAAATACCCTGAGAGAGCATCACTCCTCTGTTGAGAAACATTGATTTATTTTGACTTACTGCCTGAGGAATTTTGCATTATTTCAAAAGATTCTTCATAGAGAGTATGCTTTCACTAACAGTTTACATTCCTTGTCCTTTTGCCATTCCCTTTTTGTATTGTTATTCTTATCCCTTCTTGGTTTCAATACATTTTTCTTATCCTATTTGGCATAGAAAGCATAGGTAGCAAGGACACAACACCTCTATTTAATGCATTATTAACCACACACTCAGGCTCTTCCTCCTACTTCTACTCTTAAAATCATGACATACTCCACAGCGGGGAGCAATGGTTGAGCCACAGCTCATGTTCTTGTACTTCAACAGCTCAATAGCAGATAATTAATGAAGCAAATCTGCCTTGTGAGTTACTTCTTCTCAAGCATTAGCAACTGCTCATATTACTGTTTTGGATATTGTGCATTAAAGCGATGAAGCCAGAACATTGACCTGAAATCTGACCCTCTTAGACATCCTTCTGCATGGAGCAACCTCAGCAGGTTGATGAGTATCCAGAGGATTAAAGGAAGGAGGAGATACCACAGCCTCCTGGAATATTTTTGCTTGATCCAGGGCAATAGCTGCAGCAGCAGAGACCTAAATTTATAAGAATTCGACCTGAGTAGATGCTGACAAACTCAGATTGCAAATTGCAGGGAGAGTCAGGTTTTGTTTATTTTTTCCTCTTGTTTTTTTTTTTTTTTTTTTTTTTTTTTTTTTCTGTTTTGAGACAGGGTCTTCCTCTGTCACACAGACTGGAACACAGAAGCGCAATCATAGCTCACTGAAACCTTGAACTCCTGGGCTCAAGCTATCCTCCTGCATCAGCCTCCCAAGTAACTGAGACTTCAGGTGTGCACCACCACACACAGCTAATTACTTTTATTTTTTTGAAGTAATGAGGTCTCGCTTAATTACCCAAGCTGGTCTTGAGCTCCTGGCCTCAAGGGATCCTCCCACCTCAGCTTCTTAAATTGCTGTGATTACAGGCATGAGCCATAGTGCCTGGCCCTATACAGGTTTCTTGCCACCTTTAATAGCTTGCATTCTTATTCTTTAAAAATTGAGATAAACTCAATATATATTGGTCAAGTATTCATTTCACTATCGTGTATACTTCTTGGTTTTCTTTTATAATCTTCTTCCCATCTTGCTGTAATATTGATTTGGTCTTTTTTCTTTTTTTAATAAAACAGCATACATAGCAGCTCCTCTCAATGCCACGTGCTTAAAATGCTATCAGATTTCCCAGCAAATTGGTGTTATCTGAATAGGGCACTGACATTTTCCTATTTAATCCTCACTCCCTTAGGGAAAACGCTCACCAGGGTCTTTACCTGATAAAAGATCTAACTATGGCATAGCACCATCTATAGCCAGATGGTATAAAAATGAAAATATTTATATTTTTAGGTGACTTTGGGGTGAAATCTAATTCCTTCCTTCCTCCCTCCCTCTCTCCCTCTCTCTTTCTTTTTTCTTTCCCCCTGACTTTCAGCTTCTTGTTCTGTGAGGTGATACTTTCCAAGAATAAGAAGCAATGCAGTGATTTATGATAGCATTCAAACACATTGACACTCTCATGAATTTTTCGGGATAGATCTTTTTATCTTTGATCATTATTATTTGTCTCTTTACAGTGACCTGCTCATAATGTCAAATGCACTATTCTAAGATATTTTATGAATGGTTCTTACTTATTGTTATTCACCTTTTGGTTTTGAAAAAGTTTGTTTTTAACATGAATCATTTCAAAGATCTAAGAAATTCTTAGTCTAGCAATGTTTTTATTAGTTTCATCAATTAAGTGCCCAAATTAAGATGTATTATTAAGAGACTAGGTAGTGCCAGAAGATTAAGTGTAAAGATTTTGAAACCAGGATCTTGGCTGTTAATCTAGTTTTACCACTCAATATTGGTTTGATTTCAGGTAAATTGACTCCTGAATATGAGCTCCATTTTCTTTATGGCTGAGTCACCTTTACACTACATAACTTTAAGCACCACTTTAAGTATCATGGGACTTAATCGTGAAACATAAATCACAGGAGAATGTCAAGTCGTGTTTTCTTTAAAGTTCAATCTATCTCCAGTATTCTGTGATTCTACCATCCTACGTATTTCAATGGGGAGAGGGTGCTAAAAATTACTGATACCTGTGCCCCACTGTGAATCAAATTATTCTAATATCCCAGGTGGTGTCTAGACATTGGTAATTTGGGGGGATACTTCCCAGGTGATTTTAATGTGTAACTTTTACTAAGAAACATTGCTCTAGTAAATTTATGAGCTGAATTCCTTTAATATAAATGAAGCCATACTGATTTAACATAAGTGTAAGCCATTATTTTAATTGCATTTTAGTGAATATAATTGCTATGTTAATTTTGCTTTCTATAGTCATGCATTGCTTAATGACAGGGACACATTCTGAGAACTGTGTTGGTAGGGGATTTTGTCATTGGGTCAACATCATAGAGTGTTAATTACACAAACCTAGCTGGCATAGCCTACTAAACATCTAAGCTAAATGGTATAGCCTATTTCTCTTAGACTACAAACCTGTACAGCATGTTACCATACTGAATACTGTAGGCAATTGTAACACAATGTTAATATTAGTGTATCTAAACATTGAAAAGTGGCAGTAAACATACTGTGTAAAAGATAATAAATGGTACACCTGTGTAGGGCACTTACACTGAATGGAGCTTGCAGGATTGGATGTTGCTCTGAGTGAGCCAGTGAATGAGTGGTGAGTGAATATGAAGGCTTAAGACATTACTGTACCCTACTGCAGACTTTATCAACACTGCCTAGTTAGGCTACATTAAATGTATTTACAAATTTCTTTCTTCAGTAATAAATTAATCTGAGCTTACTCTAAAAATTTTGCTTTATTAACTTTTTCTTTTTTTAACTTTGGGACTTTTTAAATAATGCTTAACTTAAAACACATTTTGTATAGCTTTAGAAAAATATTTTTTATATCATTACTTTATAAGCTTTTTTCTATTTTTAATTTAATTTAATTTTTTTTTTTACTTTTTAAATTTTGTTTAAAATGAAGACACAAACACACATATTAGTCTAGATTTACACAGGGTCAGGAACATCAATATCACTATCTTCTACCTCCACATGTTTTACCACTGGAAAGTCTTCAGGGGAAATTACATGCATGGAGCTGTCATCCTTTATAATACCAGTGCCTTCTTCTGGAAAGTCTTCTGAAGGGCCTGCCTGAGATTGTTTTACAGTTGACTTTTTTTTTTTTTAATAAGTAGAAGGCGTACACTCCAAATAATGATAAAAAGTGTATTATAGTAAATATATAAACTGGTAACATAGTCATTTATTGTTATTATCAAGTATTAGGTACTGTACGTAATCGTATGTTCCATACATCTATATGACTGACAGCATAGTAGGTTTATTTATACCATCTCCACAAACACCTGAGTGATGTCTTGCTCTATGACATTATGACAGCTACAAAGTAAATAGCTTCATAAGTGTATGTGGTTCACCATTCACCACAATGTTATTATGTGATGTGTGACTATAGTTAATGTGCAATCTGTTGAAATTCTCATGATTTCAGTATTTTTGTGAATCCACAATGTATATTTTAATACCATTACTGTTTGCTATATCTACCATCTCCACTTTTAATTATCCAAAGTTGTGTCTATATTCTATTAAATTTCAGCTATTATAATTTTAAGATGCTCGAACTTTAATATTCTCCAACCATACTATTTGCTGTGATCCAAATCACTTCTAACTGATATTTTTCTCTTTCTCTTTCCCTTCCAATTGGCCATCTTTTAGGCTGCAGAAGATTATTTAGTGCTAAAATGAAGTTCCAATTTATCATTGTAACTAAAAGAAAATTAATGTATAACTTGTTTTTTGGACATTTCCACTTTATTGCAGAGAAGCATGTGAATTCAATTATATGCAATTATGCCATACATCTAACTAATGCACTTCTCAAGGATTATTTTGTATGCATACAAATATACAGCAAGCGTGGCCTGCAGGAGTCATTTTGTTCTATATACAACAAGACCTCTAGGTCACAGTAAGAAGCTGAGGTTTATGAATTATGGAAATATTTTTTGGACATGTTTAGTATTATTTCAATTGTAAAACAATTTTACTGTGTAATTATTGACTTAGCTTCAGGATGTACTTTTTTTCAGAGTCATTAGGATTATTATATAACATTAGAAAAGCACTAGAATTTTTTTAACTTTTGTTAAAACTGATTTAATCAGACCACAACAAAAACAGATGCAAGCTGATATAAAATATGAAAATAATTTGTTGTATTTAAATTGCATTCTTTTTGCTAGAAGCACAGAGCAATTTTATGCACAGTATAATGTCATAAATCCTCACATCATCCCTCCGAGGCAGGGACTCATTATTTTTCTCATTTGACAAGTGGAGGTTGAATTGAGGTTTTAAGTGACTCACCTAAGGAAATGCAAAGTGTCATTGGAACAGTCAGCAAGCTCTCTTTGTCTTTTAGAAAAATATCCTCTCATTTTTTTCTGTATGCTATGCCACTTTAGGAGCATAATTAATTTCAAAGATATGTAATAAACCTTACTGTGTTCTAGCAAAATTCTAGTGCTAGGGACAAACACAACAGAAAACAATTCAGCAAAGACACACATACACAAAAGTTTACAACAATATTCTTTGTCACAGCCCTCAACTGGAAGAAACCCAATTGGTGAACAGATACATTTGAATTTATCCATGGCATAAAATATTATTCAGCTAAAAGAGAAATTAAATATTAATGTACAGAAAACATAGATTAACATTACATTATAAAAATTGCATTAATTGAAATAAACCAAATAAAATGAAATTTCTGTATGATTCCATTTATAGAAATTTTAGAACTGCAAAACTGACAGAAAGCAGATTAGTGGATAGTTAAGGCAGGGTGTGGAGGAGAGGATCTATGTAAAGGAGCTTGAGGAAATCTTTTAGGCTGAAGTGTTTTCTATTTATTGATTCCTATTTATTGATTGCATTAGTGCTAATATGGTTGTATAAAATTAGCAAAACACTTAATATTGATAAATTTTATTGTACTGGAGAATAGATCCATTAAAAAGTTATTCACAACTACTTATATTTTCAATGTATATAGTGTCTGCAGTGTTGACTAGATTAAGTTATTTTTGACTAGTGTTCTCTTTCTTTCTTTTCTAATCCATTTTAACAGCCATTTCGAATTTGGTAAGTCTGTTCAAGAACCAAATTTTAAGTTTATTGATTCTCTCTATTATGAGTGTTTTCTACATCATTTCTTGTGTGATTATTATTTCTTTGCTTCTAATCTCTTGAGATTACTTTGCTATTTTTTTTCTAATATCTTGAGACAGACAATTAGCTCATTTCTTCTCTAGCATATGCATTTTAAGGCTATTCCTTTGTTCTACTCATTGCTATATCTGCATCTTGTGACATAAAATTTGGATTTTCGTTATTCTTTAATTCAACATATTTTTGAAGTGTCAGAATCAGAATTTTTAATAGAATATTGAAATACACTGATATTAATAGAATATGCCAATGTTTCCCATCTATATAATCACATCAAACAAATTTATATCAAGATCCTCCTCAATACAGTTTTTTAAGAGTCAGTTTTATTGAGGTACAATTTAAATGCAATTAAGTTCATAATTTTTAAGTATATAATTCAATAAATTTCTCAAATATGTAGCTATGTGACTACCCATTTGAAGATGTCAAATGTTTCCTGAACTTTAAAGTGGTCCCTGGTGCCCTGGATAGTCCATAGTGTCCCCTAATCTCTAGCCACTGGCAACTCCTGATTTGATTCATTTCCCTTGCTCTTTGCCACTTTCAGAATGTTATATAAATGAAGCATCTACTATGTAGCCTTTTCTCTGTCTTCTTTCAGTTATAAGATCGTTGTTGTTGCATATTAATTTTATTAATGAGTTAACACTATTCCATTAAATAGATAATTGCAATTTGTTCATTTATTTCTAGTCTGGAAATTGTTTATAATAGATTATGAGAAAGTTGATACAAATAGAGGCCTTTGTGTAAAGGTATGTTTTCATTTTTCTTGGGTAAATACTTAGAAGTAAAATGCCTGGGTTATATTGAGAGCTATGTATTAAATTTTTCAAGAAACTGTGGTGTCTTCCTAAGTAGTTGTACTACTTGCATTTACACCGATGGTGTCTAAAAAGTTCCAGTTGCTTTACCTCCTCCTCAGTATTCACATTGGTAATCTTTTTTTTTTTTTTAATTTTAGCCATTCAAGTAAGCCTGTAGCACTATCCCATTGATTTCACTTGGGTTTTCTTAATGCAAGATATGAAGTATGTTTTCATGTGCTTGTATCTGTTTATGCATCATTTGTGAGGGAGCAGCCAATCAAATCTTGGTACCTTGTATTGAGTTTTTAATATTTTGTTATTTTTATTATTTTTGTAATAGTTCTTTAGATAATCTGGCTTCAAGTCCTTAGTTGGATATGTGTTTTACAAATATTTAAGGTGCGATGTAAAGATTAAGGTAGAGGGGAGCTTTCCCTGTTCTCCTTCAGCCTCGGGTCTCAGACGGGCCTTATGCACCTGGGATTACTTTCAAAGCCTTATTAGCTTTCCTGCCTACCACTCATCCCCACCCTACACAGACCCAAAAGTCCAAGGTAATAAAAATCTGCCTTGTGCAATTTAGGACTCAAGCAGGAGCACATGCAGGAAGCGCTTTTCTGGGCCTCCTCCAGTAGCATTGCCTTTTTGCTTCTACTCCTTTTCCAGAGACAGTAAGTCTTTGTCTGGTCTTCGTGGGGAGCTGGGGCAAAGTGAAATTCCAGGAATAGAGAAACTAAAATCTATGTGGTGTCTCTCTGCCACAGGTTGAATCTGTCTTTTTCCTGTCCTTCTCCATCTTCTCATCAGTGCTCTGCAAAAGCCAATAGAAAAGCGCTGATGAGTACAGACTGGTTATGTCTGGACAAAATGCTCAGCCTTTCAGGTCTTGGTAAACATTCAGTCATTTTCTTGTTATCTGCTTTATGGCAGTTCCCTCTCTCTTTGAAGTCTGTCAAAGGTGGAATAGTGTTTGTGTTCTCTCTCTTTGGAGGAACTTGCCACTGTGATGTTTGGAATTCGATTTACCTTGTTAGCTAGCTCTTAGATGGAGTCTAGATTTTGTACATTTTTGTAGCTAGAGCTTGTTAGGGTAGAAGTGACATTCTCCTGTGGCTTTCTACAAACTTAGTTGAAGCAAAAGTCAAGTTACACATATATTTAATTGTTTATTCAATCATAGATCATTGAGAAATGTGTTTTTACATTTTCAAGCATGAAAGTTGTCTAAATTTTTATTGTTAGTGTCATTGTTTTGATTTCTAGCTTAATTGCATTATTGTCAGAGATATATGGTGTATTATGTCAAATATATAGAATTTGTTGAAACTTGCTTTATTTGGAAAACATTTCTAGTCTGCAGTTTTGAGGTATGGTGTTCTTTACGGATATATCCAATAAATGTCAGACTCAATAATTTTGTTTCCGTTTTCAATATCCTTATTGATATTTTGTATACCTCAATTATTGGGGCAGTACTTTAAGATATTTCACTATTATGTTAGTCTTGTCTATTTCTATGTGTAGTTTTGAAAACTTCCTTTATAAAGATGAATCCTCTATTAACGATGTATATGAAATTAAAATGGACTTAGCTTTCTGGAAAATTAAATATTTAATCTTTATAAATGAAATTCTTTATGCCTAGAACAACTTTCCCCCTTAGCATTTGTTTTGCAAGATTATATTATGGCTGCAGTAATTACTTTCCTTTGAGTAGTTTTTTAAAATTACGCACCCCCGCCTTTTTTTTTTTTTTTTTTTTTTTTTGAGACGGAGTCTTGCTCTGTTGCCCAGGCTGGAGTGCAGTGGCTGGATCTCGGCTCACTGCAAGCTCCGCCTCCCGGGTTCACGCCATTCTCCTGCCTCAGCCTCCCGAGTAGCTGGGACTACAGGCGCCCGCCACCACGCCCAGCTAATTTTTTGTATTTTTAGTAGAGACGGGGTTTCACTGTTTTAGCCAGGATGGTCTCGATCTCCTGACCTCGTGATCTGCCTCCTTGGCCTCCCAAAGTGCTGGGATTACAGGCGTGAGCCACCGTTAAATTTTTTCTGCTTTTTAAAAATATTCTTTGTCTTTATGATTGAACTGTGTCTTATAAAAGCGTATGCTTGGATTCGTTAGTCAAATTTGACACCTTTTGCTTTTAAAATACTGAGTTTATGTTCAATGTAATCATTGACATATTTAATAATTAATATTTATCTTTTTTTCCTACACTTTTGAACTGCATTTATTCATATTTATTTTTCTCTCCTTTCTTGTAATTCTTTGAATATATTGTGGTTTTCTATAATTGGGAGTCACATATGATGTTCTTAACCATTTAAAATATGTTCGTATAGATTATAATGTGAAAATATAATTTATCAAATCTGAATATAATCCCTTCATCTATCCAGCAATTGCACAAATACTAGGACCCTAAAGTAATTGCACTCTGCTTACCTAGTTCTTGACTTCCATGTTATTTTGTCAATTAAAAAAAAAGTATTGTTATATGTTATAAATTATTAGTACTGCTTAAAACATTGGTGCATATTAGATTCACTCATGTAATTACCATTTTCTTTGTACCTCAGAAGTTGTCCCATCATAGACGTACTCTCTAGGATGACATTCATTTTGTCTGAGTTGTGTCCTTAATAATTGCCTTTATGATTTTGGTAGTGTTACACTCAGTTTAATTTTTTTCATGTTTGTTTTTTGTGGAAATAATTTTATTTTTATTCTTAAGCCATTTTGCTGGGCATAAAATTTGAATATGGAAGTTATTTTCCTTCAACACATTCCATTTTCTTCTGAAGTTTGTTGCAGTTATTGGTAAGTCTTCTGTCAATAAATATTGCTACTTTGAAAATAATCTTTTTCTCTGTTTTAAATGATCTATTGTTCTAGTTTTTCATGACCTTTTGGTTTTACTGTGATTTGTATTCAAGTTGATTTTAAAAAAAATCATATGAATCCTACTCAGAATTTGTTGGACTCATGTCTTTTGAATTGCTTTCCTTTGTAATTTCTGGAAGGAAGGTCTCAGTAAATATGTCCTCAAATGTTGTCCCAGTCTAAGTTTCTCTTTCTTTATCCAGGACACAAATTAAAAGGCTAAAGCTAAACTTTGATCAAAATGAGTATGAGAAGGAATAACAATTGATTAATTGATATGCTTTTAAAGTTTGAAGCTCTTCTTCAGGGAATTACGGCTAGCTTTTCCATGTTAAGAATATAAAGATTGATGGTATAAACCTGATTTAACTGGCTGTACAGCCAGATTTGTCTATGTGACCAATAGGCTATAAAAGGCCCCACTGTAAATGTTGAGTTTGGCTTTCCTGAACCAATCTTCCTTGCCTATTATTTTGGAGTTCATAATCTAAATACTAAGCGTATGTTATACAATTAAAAAAAGACTCTAGGTAACTATACCAGGATGACAAAGGCCCCTGATGATTATGCATACATTGTTTCTCTTCCTATACCATATTATTTACCTTTATTCAACTTTTATATGGATATGAATACATCCTATGAAGTATTAAGAGTCCTTTCAATCACCTGACCTTGTGAAATAGCTGCAATACTCTATATTTAGTAACTTGTCTTTTCTTATTTTATAGGCTTTTTCTTTGACACAGATGGTATTAACTAACGTAATGTCAAGATTACCTCAGTTAAAATAGCATGGAAGACAAATATGATTTTTCTTAACATTGTAGCAGCCACATATATCATTGAACAAATGATTAAATAACATATAAATTATAAAACCCAATACATGCCTAGTTTAATTATTAATTAAGAATTCAGGTCATTTAGAAAATAATAATAACAACAATAATGATAATGATTCTCTTAAACTACCTCCAAGATTAAATTCTTATATACTTAATATTCATTATGACTTGGGTTTATAGTTACTGTCAATAAATAAAACTATTTTTTTTTCCTGGAAACATCTATAGAGCTTTTCTGTATTCTGTAGCGCTTGGGAGGTACAGAGCATTAGGGGTCAAGTATTTGAGAGCAGCAGCTACAAATTTTGTATATTTTATGTTTATCTTGATGTGTTTTCAATATTTAAAGATTAGTTCTAAAAAACAAAAAGAATTCACAGGCTATTTCTCATTTCAGTGCCTCATTTCATTAAATATTGTCTTAAGAGAGAATATTATGGAAGTGTATTGTTTTAAATTTTGGACTCTTAATACTATTTAAACATTTTGATTGTATTTTAATTCTTATTATTGAAGGAAGTCTGTAACTTTCACTTGTCTTTTTTTTCTGTTAGACATAAACAAAATATGACAAAATTTTAGAGGAGATGTAGCCTTTTTTGTTTTATTCGGTAGTTTCACTTTTTAAAGAAAACATTCATGCTGTAAAATAATGGATGTAGCAATTCAGAAGAACTACTTTTCTCTTCTAAATTGTTCATTCATACAATATACAGCACTTTAAAATAAAATCGTATTTATTATTTTTATAAGAAATTTCTGATGTTAGTTATTTTTTGTTATCTCAAGTAAAATTTTTAAGTGTAGCTTTTTACCAAAGTTTTGAATTATAAATGTCAGAAATAAACACCCATTTTATATGTTTTGCTGTATGTAATTAGAGATGCCACAGAAAGATATGAGTTTTACATTTTTGTGTTTCAATGAAAGAACAGATACACAAATAAGAAAGAGAAAGGAATCAAACATTATTGTTAAAGAAAACCCCACCACACTGCAAATATCAATGATTAGAGAGGAAGAGAGGAAAAAAGGATATTCTAAACAATCACAGTTCAATTAACTAAATGAAAGTGGTAATCCTTAACACTTAATAACAACCTTGAAAGTGAATAATGTAAATTCTCCAGTTAAATATACAGACTGGCTGAATGAATAAAAAATTATGACCCAACTATAGACTGCCTAAAAGATACTCATTTTGCTCAGAAAAACACACATAGACTGAAAGTAAAGGAATGGAAAAAGATATTCTCCACAAATGGAAACCAAAGAAATGCAGGAGTGGCTGCACTTAGACAAAATATACCTTAAGTTGAAAAATATAAAAAGAACGAGTTAGTAGGTGCAGCACACCAGCATGGCACATGTATACATATGTAACTAACGTGCACATTGTGCACATGTACCCTAAAACTTAAAGTATAATAATAATAAAAAAAAGAAAAATATAAAAATAGAGAAAAAAGGTCATGGACAAAGAGGATGTAAAAATTGTTGAGGTATATGAACCCAACACACAGAGCATCCAGATATATAAAAATAGTATTACTAGGGCCATAGAGAGATATCAACTCCAATACAATAATAGCTGGGCACTACAATATCTGACTTTTAGCTTTAGAAAGATCATCTAACAAGAAAATCAACAAATAAACCTTAGACTTAAACTGTGCCATAGACCAAATGGACCTAACAGATATTTACAGAGCATTTCATCTAACAGCTGCAGAATCTGCATTATTTTCAACAGTATATGAAACATTGTCCAAGAAAGATAATACGTTAGGCCATAAAACAAATCTCAATGACATTTTTAAAGTTAAAATTATGTCATGTGTCTTCTCAGACCACAGTGCAATACTATTAGAAATTAATAATGAGAGAAACTAGAAACTGTACAAGTAAATAAAAAATTAAACAACATATACCCGAAGGACAAACTTGTCCATGAAGAAATTCAGAGGAAATTTAGAAATTAAAACACATAAAAATAGAAACAGAACACACTACAACCTATGGGATATAGCTAAGTCAGTACTGAGAGGGAATTTTACTGTGATAAATCCCTACATGAAAAGGGTAGAAAGAAAGCAAGAACAAACCAAGCCCAAAATTCATATAAAGGAATAAATAATAAAGACCAGAGAAGAAGTAAACAAGATAGAGGTAAAAAATAGAAAATATCAACAGAACAAAAAGTTGGCTTTTTGAAAGCATAAACAAATTCATAAACCATCAGCTAGTCTAAAAAAAAGAGAGAGAGAGAGAGAGAACCAAGCAAAATCAGAAGTTAAAGAGTAAACATTACAATTGATACCACAGAAATATAAAAGATTATTTGAAACTATTATGAACAACTATACACCAACAAATTTGAAAATGTAGAGAAAATGGATAATACATATAATCTTTCAAGACTAACCAAAAATAAATAGAAAACCTAACAGAACAAGTACCAAAACTGAATCAGAAATAAGAAGGCTCCCAACAAAGAAAAGCCCAATACCAAATGGCATTTCGATTGAATTCTATCAAACTGTTAAAGAATAATTTATAGCAGTTCTCAAACTCTCATAAAGCTAAGAGGAGGGATTCCTTTTTATTCTATGAGGCCAGCATTACCCTGATAACAAAACCAGATAAGGACACAGCAAAAATAAAACTACAGGTCAATATCCTTGGTGAACATAGGAAAATCTTCAACAAAATATGGGCAATCAAACTGAATCCAACAGCATAAAAAAAAAGTACATCATGAACAAGTGAGATTTATCCCAGTGATGCAAAGATTATTCAACATACGCAAACCAGTAAATTTATTGCATTACATAAACATGATGAAGAACAAAAAACAGATGATCATCTCCATAGATGCAGCATAAGAATTCAATAAAATTCAATATCCTTTGTGACAAAAATTCTCAATAAATTAGATACAGAAGGAACATTCCTTAACACAATGAGGGGGGTATATAACAAATGCACAGCTAACATTGTACTTAACAGCGAAAAGCTAAAAGCTTTGTATCTAAGAACTTGAACAAGATAAGGATGGTCACTTTTACCACTCTTATTCAACATAGTACTGGAAATCATAGAGCAATTAGGCAAGAGAAAGAAATAAGAGGATTTTAAATTAGAAAGGATGAGACAAAATTCTATTTCATTGTAGATAATATGATATTAAATATAGAAAAACCTAAAGACTCCACCAAAGACTCTTAGAACAGATAAACAAATTCAGTAAAGATGTAGAATACATAATCAGCATATAAAAATCGGTAATGTTTCTGTACATTAATAATGAACTAGCCGAAAAATAAAGCAATTGATTTACAATAGGTACATGAAATAAAATACTTAAAAGTAAATTTGCTCAAAGAGATGAAAACCTTTACAAACGCTGATGAAAGAAATCTAAGGGGAAACACACACACACACACACACACACACACACACAAATCAGAAGACATCCCACGCTCATGAATTGGAAGAATTAATATTGTTAAAATGAGATACTAACCAAAGCAATGCACAGATTCAATACAATCCCGGTCAAAATACCTATGGCATCTTTCAAATAACTAGAATAAAAAGGAATCCTACAATTTGTATGGAGTGACAAAAGACCCTGAATAGTTCAAGCAATACTTAACAAAAATAACACAGCTGAAAGCATCACCCCACCTGTTTTCAAAATATTCTACAGGCTATAGTAACCAAAGCATGATGCTATTGGTATAAAAACACAGAAAGCAATGGGATGGAATAGAGAATGCAGAAATAAATCTATGTATTGATACTCAACTAATTTTTGACAAAGGTGCCAAGAACATACATTGGAAAAAGGTGGCCTTATCAATAAATGGTACTGAGAAACAGGATATAAATATGCAAAAAAGAAACTAGACTACTGTATACCACCATATACAAAAATCAACTCAATATGAATTAAGACAAATATGATACCCCAAACTATAAAACTACTAGGAAAAAAACATAGCAGAAGTGATTTAGGACACAGGACTGTGTGAATACTTTATTGGCAAGACTTCAAAAGCATAGGCAACAAAACTAAAAATAGACAAATGAGACTATATCAAACTAAAAAGTTTCTGCTCAGAAATGGAAACAATCAACAGAGTGAAGAGACAGTCTGAAGAATAAAAGAAAACATTTGCGAACTATCCATCCAATAAAGAACCTATATCCAGAATGTATATGGGACTCAACAGCAAAAACAGTGACGACAACAACAACAAAAACCAATAATCTAATTTAAAAGTAGGCAAGTGATCTGAATAGACATTTCTTAAAAAAGGACATTCAAATGACCAACAAATATATGAAAAAAATGCTCAACATCACGTTATCAGGGAAATGAAAATTAAAACCATAATGAGAATGTTTCACCCTGGTTAGAACGGCTATCATCAAAAAGACAAAAAATAACAAATACTGGTTAGGATTCAGAGAAAAGAGAACTCTTATACACTGTTGGTTGGAATGTAAGTTAGTACATTTATTATGGAAAACAGTATGGAGATTTCTAAAAAAATTAAAAGATAACTACCATATAACCCAGAAATCCTATAACTGGATATTTATCCAAAGACAAGGAAATCAGTATATCAAAGATATATATGCATTTCCATGTTTATTGCAGCACTATTCACAGTAGCCAAGATAGGAAACAAACCTAAATATTTATCAACAGATGAATGGATGGAAAAATGTGATGTTAAGAAAAAATACACACAAACACACACACACACACACATACACACACACTGTGAAATAATATTCAACCATAAAAATGCTTGAAATCCCATTGTTTGTGATAACATGGATAAGCCTGGAAGACATCATAGTAAGTGAAATAATTCAAGCACCGAAAGATAAGTATCCATGTTCTCACTCTTATGGGGGTGCAAAAATAAATTTGATCTCACAGAAATAGAGAATAAAATTGTGGTTATTAGAGTTTTGGAAGGGTAGGGAGGAGGGGAGGGCAGGGAGACATTGATTGACAGACACAAAATTAAAGCAAGAAAGAAGCAATAAGTTCTAATGGTCTATAGCACTCCAGCATGAACATAGTTAACAATAATTTATTGTATAACTTCAAAAAGCTAGAAGAGAGGATTTTGAATGTTCACTAAAAGAAATGATAAATATTTTAAGCGATGGATATGCTAATTATCCTGATTTAATCATTACACATGGTATGCATGTAGGAAAATATCACTCAGTGTTTTCATAAATTTGTACAATTGTTACATGACAACTAAAAGTGAAAGAAAAAAGGACAATTTATTTTTATGTGGGTGGGTTGCAAATAAGAGAGAAATATAAACTAAGCTTCACATCACAACAGAGGAAAAAGATCAGAAATGACAAACATGTTACCTACTGAATGGTGAGGTTTTATGTGAAGAGATACTTAGAGAGTGAGTCTTAATTGTTTAACATCCTAGAATTTTCTGGAATGAACTACTAGAGTATTAATAATGTGTGCTGCTACTTCAGGAATTAGCATTTCTAAATAACTAAATTTGGAATGCTTTTTATGTAAATGGAGAATAATATATTTTTCTTGAGTCTTCTTTAGAAATAGCATTAAATGTTGCTATGCACAAAGAAAATAAATGAAAAGTGTGATTGTGTAACATAGTTTTTAAAGAACACCACCATACATTCCTTCTCTCCTTGTAATGCCACATCAACAATCAAGTAGAGCCTATCACCTGGCCCTTGCCTCTTAGCTAAGTTGATGACTTGCCTTAACCAAGAAAATATGGCGAAAGTGCTGTTGTCCTAGTTCAGGGTTTGTGACTTTAGATACCTAGTAGCTTATGCTTTCATTCTGGGAAATCCAGTGACCATGCTCTGAAGAAAATTAAATTGTAATACTGAATAGGGAGAAAACGCATGGAAATAGAAAGGGAAATTGAAGGAATATCAAAGCACCAGACATGTGAGCAAAATTATGATTGACTTTTCAGTTAAGCCCAGCTGCCAGCTGCCAGCTGTTTAAGCGACCCCAGACAAGAATACACATAGCAGAAAACTACCAGGCAAGCAATTTCTAAGTTTATTATCTAGTGTTGTGAGAAATAATCAATTGTTGTTTTCTAATTGTATTAGTTTGCTAGGGATTTGATAACTAACACAAACTGGGAGGTGTATACAACAGAAATTTATGTTTTTACAGTTCTTTAGGATGGAAGTCCAAGATCAAGGTGCTGACAGGATTAGTTTTCTCTGAGGACTCTCTCCTTAGTCTGCAGACAGTTGATCTCTCGCTACCTCTTCATAAGCTTGTCCCTCTGTGCACACATGTACCTGGTATTTCTCTGCATGTCCTAATCTCCTCTCCTTACAAGGACAATAGTCAGACCGAATCAGGGTTCAACCTTGACTCACTTTAATTTAATTACTTCTTTAAAGGCCCTATCTCCAAATACAGTGACATTATGAAGTACTTGGCATTAAGAATTCAATATATGAATTTGAGAATAAGGAAACACAAATCAATCAATAACATTAGGACACAAAGTTTGAAATTAAATTATTGTGCAGGAATAATACCTGAAATAATAACTAAAAGTATAGATTATAGATAAAACTAACAGAAACTGGTATTCAATTGAATGAATGGAACAAGATAAACATTTGAAATATATCTTCAGCTAATACATTTCTGAGTGTAAGAACATTACCTGCAGCTATTGAGATGCTACAGTCTTCCACTGGAATGTTCCAAAGCACAAAGATGTATAGTATAAATCTTAAAGATTAAAAAACACAACAAAAGTTTGAAGATGAAATAGATATGAAAATATACTTAATTTATTTGAGAGAGAGAGATAAAAAAAGAAATAAAAAAAGGAAGGAAGGAAGGAAATGGAGAGAGTAATAAGAGGAAGGAAACAAAAAGGAGATGAAACATTGAAAACAAATAGTAAGATGATAATCTTAAACCTATGTATTTAACTATAAATGATCTGCACACCTAAATTAAAAGGCAAAGATGGTCAGGTAGAATGAAAAGCAAGACCCAACTGTATGCTGCCTACATACATTAGGTAGTATATAATAGATAGCAGTTGTAGGTAAATAGTAGTAGCATAATGCTGACTATGTTGAATGCAAAGAAAAAAAAAGTAGGTCAAAAGTAAAGAATGTGACAAAACATATGCCATGCTAACAGTAATCTAATGAAAACTGGTGTGGCTACATTAATATCAGACAAAGTAGATTTAACAGCAAATAATATCACCAGGGTAAAGGGGTATTTCATAATGATAAAAAGATCAATTACCCAAGAGTACATAAAAATGCTAAACATTTATGTCTTTATGAATTATAAAACACATAAAGCAAATATAAATACATAAGACATAGACTTGCAAAGGGAAATTTAATAATTAATAATCTTATTTGGTTTTCAATATCAGTATATCAATAAATTATGGAATAAGTATAATTAAAAAAAGAAAGTCAGTTAGGATATAGAAGCTAGGAACACTATCAAGCTATTTACGTAATTGGCCTTTGTAGAACACTCTACCCAACGACAGAAGAATATGTATTCTTCTTAAGTGCACTTGTAACTATAATAAATCAGATCATATTCTGGGACACAAAACATGTCTCAATAGATTTTTTAAAGTCACATCATAATATGTTCTCTGATCACGATGAAAATGTTATTGATTAGAAATAAATTTAAAAAGCTATTTGTAAAATTCTAAGATATTTGGAAACCAAATAAAATATTTCTAAAGAACTCACAAGTTAAAGAAGAAACAAAAAGGGATAGTAGATAGTATTTTGAACAGTATGTTAGTGAAACACAGGTATTTTAATGTAACGTTAGTGGAAATAGAAATTTTGATATAAATTTGTGAGAAGCCACTAACTATTGTGGTATTTACAAGAAATTTTATAGCAATAAATCTCTCAACTAGAGAAGAAGGTCTCAAATAGGTAACTGCAGCTTCAATTTTAAGTATCTACAAGAAGAAGAGCACACTAAATCCAAGGTAAGTAGAAGAAAGAAAATGATAAAGATCAGAAAGAGAAACTCTTAAATATTGTTGGTAGGATGTATTTCAGCAAAGCCATTAAGGATAATAGTATGAAGTTTCCTCAAAAAACTAAAAATAGAACTGCTGTATGATCCAGCAATTTCACTACTGTATATAAATCCAAAGGAATTAAAATCAGTAAGTTGAGATATCTGCATCCTGTTTATTGCAGCACTATCCACGATAGCAAGAGATGGAATCAACCTAAATGTTCATCAAAAGATGAATAGATAAAGCAATTGTGGTACAGATACACAATGGAATACTATTAATAAAAAGAATAAAACCTGTCATTCATGGGAACATAGCTAAAACTGGAAGAAAAAATGTTAAGAGAAATAAGCCACGTACAGAAAGGTAAATACTACATGATCTTACTCATATGTTGAATCTTTAAAAGCTGATCACATAGAAGTAGAGAGTAGAATAATGGTTATCAGAGTCTGGGCGAGTCTGGGTAAAGGGATGAGGAGAGGTTTGTTAAAGAGTACAAAGTTAAAGATTAATAGGAAGAATAAGTTCTGTTGTTCTGTTACACAGTAGAATGACTATAACTAACAATGCATTGTATATTTCAAGATAGCTAAAAAAGAGGATCTTGAAAATTATCACCAAAAAGAAATGATAAAGATTTGAGGTTACAGATATGCTCACTACTCTGCTTTGATTACTCTGCAATGTACACATGGATTGAAACACCATTCTCAATCCCTTAAATATGTACAGTTTCTTTGTGTCTATTATAAACAAAATTAAAAAGAGAAAATGATAAAGATTAGATTGTAAATCAGTGAAATAACAGAAAAACAGAAAATCAGAAGTTAATCCTGGTTATTTGACTTAATAAAAATATATTCACAAAGCGTTGATGAGAGCAACTAACAAGAAATTACAGAGACTCTGTGACTAATATCCAAAATGAGAGCGATGGCTTCAATACATGTTCTAAAGCTATTAAGAGGTTAACAAAGGGCTATTATAACTAATTTGATGATAGTATATACTATAAGTCTTAAAGGTTACAAAAACCACAACAAAAGTTTGAAGATGAAATAGATATAAAAACATACTTAATTCCCTTAAGTGAGATAGAGAATGAAAGAAAACACATTAACAATTTAGATTAATGAACAAGTCATTGAAAGACAAAAATTGTAAAAGCTTCCTCAAGAAAATAAATTTACAATTTATATTAAATGAACAAGTCATTGAAAGACAGAAGTTGCAAAAGCTCCCTCAAGAGGAAATAAATAACCTGTATAACACACTTTTATACAATAAATTGAAATTATAGCTAAGATCCTCTCATAAGAAAAACCCCAGGTCTGGATGTTTCCCCTTGTAATTTCTAACAAATATAATATAGAAAAAATAATATTAATTATACAGAAATTCTTCCAGAAGATTTAAAATGAAGGTATTCTTCTCACTCATTCTATTAGTAAATTACCATTATATGAAAATTTGAAAAAAAAAAAAAGAGAAGAAAATCAGATAAAACACAGATCTACATATCAACATCCTTAGTGAACACATATGCAAAAATTCTAAACAAAACTTTGGGAATTAAATACAACATTGTATAAAATAAATAAAATGTTAAAATTATGTACCATGACTAAGTGGAATTTATCCATGAATGTAAGACAGGTTTGACGTTTATATATCTTCAAATCCATGAGCCTGGAGCTTAAGAGAGGGTAAAATATTTATGGAATGAAAAAATAATTTTTTATTATACTTTAAGTTCTAGGGTACATGTGCACAATGTGCAGGCTTATTACATATGTATACATGTGCCATGTTGGTGTGCTGCACATATTAACTCGTCATTTATATTAGGTATATCTCCTAACACTATCCCTCCCCTCTTCCCCCACCCCACAACAGGCCCCAGTGTGTGATGTTCCCCTTCCTGTGTCCAGTTGTTCTCATTGTTCAATTCCCACCTATGAGTGAGAACATGTGGTGTTTGGTTTTTTGTCCTTGCGATAGTTTGCTGAGAATGATGGCTTCCAGCTTTATCCATGTCCCTACAAAGGACATGAACTCATCATCTTTTATGGCTGCATAGTATTCCATGGTGTATATGTGCCACATTTTCTTAATCCAGTCTATTGTTGATGGACATTTGGTTTGGTTCCAAGTCTTTGCTATTGTGAATAGTGCCGCAATAAACATACATATGCATGTGTCTTCATAGCAGCATGATTTATAATCCTTTGGGTATATACCCAGTAATGGGATGGCTGGGTCAAATGGTAGTTATGGTTCTAGATCCTTGAGGAATTGCCATACTGTCTTCCACAATGGTTGAACTAGTTTAAGGTCCCACCAACAGTGTAAAAGTGTTCCTATTTCTCCACATCCTCTCCAGCACCTGTTGTTTCCTGACTTTTTAATGATCGCCATTCTAACTGGTGTGAGGTGGTATCACATTGTGGTTTTGATTTGCATTTCTCTGATGGCCAGTGATGACGAGCATTTTTCCATGTGTCTGTTGGCTGCATAAATGTCTTCTTTTGAGAAATGTCTATTCATATCCTTTGCCCACTTTTCGATGGGGTTGTTTTTTTCCTTGTAAATTTGTTTGAGTTCTTTGTAGATTCTGGATATTAGCCCTTTGTCAGATGAGTAGATTGCAAAAATTTTCTTCCATTCTGTAGGTTGCCTGTTCACTCTGATGGTAGTTTCTTTTGCTGTGAAGAAGCTCTTTAGTTTAATTAGATCCCATTTGTCAATTTTGGCTTTTGTTGCCATTGCTTTTGGTGTTTCAGACATGAAATCCTTGCTCATGCCTATGTCCTGAGTGGTATTGCCTAGGTTTTCTTCTAGGGTTTTTATGGTTTTAGGTCTAACATTTAAGTCTTTAATCTATCTTGAATTAATTTTTGTATAAGTTGTAAGGAAGGGACCCAGTTTCAGCTTTCTACATAGGGCTAGCCAGTTTTCCCAGCACCATTTACTAAATAGGGAATCATTTCCCCATTTCTTGTTTTTGTCAGATTTATCAAAGATAAGATGGTTGTAGATGTGTGGTATTATTTCTGAGGGCTCTGTTCTGTTCCATTGGTCTATATCTCTGTTTTGGTACCAGTGTCATGCTGTTTTGTTTACTGTAGCCTTGTAGTATAGTTTGAAGTAAGGTAGCGTGATGCCTCCAGCTTTGTTCTTTTGGCTTAGGATTGTCTTGGCAATGCGGGCTCTTTTTTGGTTCCATATGAACTTTAAAGTAGTTTTTCCAATTCTGTGAAGAAAGACAATGGTAGCTTGATGGGGATGGCATTGAATCTATAAATTATCTTGAGCAGTATGGCAATTTTCATGATATTGATTCTTCCTATCCATGAGCATGGAATGTTCTTCCATTTGTTTGTGTCCTCTTTATTTCCTTGAGCAGTGGTTTGTAGTTCTCCTTGAAGAGGTCCTTCACATCCCTTGCAAGTTGGATTCCTAGGTATTTTCCTCTCTTTGAAGCAATTGTGAATGGGAGTTCACCCATGATTTGGCTCTCTGTTTGTCTGTTATTGGTGTATAAGAATGCTTTTGATTTTTGCACATTGATTTTGTATCCTGAGACTGCTGAATTAGCTTATTAGCTTAAGGAGATTTTGGGCTGTAACGATGGGGTTTTCTAAATATACAATCATGTCATTTGCAAACAGGGACAATTTGACTTCCTCTTTTCCTAATTGAATACCTTTTATTTCTTTCTCTTGCCTAATTGCCCTGGCCAGAACTTCCAACACTATGTTGAATAGGAGTGGTGAGAGAGGGCATCCCTGTCTTGTGCCCATTTTCAAAGGGAATGCTTCTAGTTTTTGTCCATTCAGTGTGATATTGGCTGTGAGTTTGTCATAAATAGCTCTTATTATTTTGAGATATGTCCCATCAATACCTAATTTATTGAGAGTTTTTAGCACGAAGTGCTGTTGAATTTTGTCAAAGTTCTTTTCTGCATTTATTGAGATAATCATGTGGTTTTTGTCTTTGGTTCTGTTTATATGCTGGATTACGTTTATTTATTTTCATGTTGAACCAGCCTTGCATCCCAGGGATGAAGCCCACTTGATCATGGTGGATAAGCTTTTTGCTGTGCTGCTGGATTCGGCTTGCCACTATTATATTGAGGATTTTTGCATCAATGTGCATCAGGGATATTGGTCTAAATGAAAAAATAAATAAATGTTTCATTCCGTATTTGAAACCATCTCACAATTTGTCCTTCTGTGATGTTCCTAAAGTGAAACATCTTTGACTCTAGAGTCACTTCGTCTTTGTCTTATTCCTCGTATCATTAGTGCTAGTAATGTGTCATTGGTCTAGCTGTTTAGCATTATGCTCAGTGTCACCTTCTTTAAATTAATGATAAAATAACCTATAGGATTATTGTGGCAATTAAAAAGAGCATTAAAAAGGCCTATATCTACATCTTCTACATACTTAACATTCAATATAGCTTAGCAATTATAGAAAGCTAAAATGTGCCTTCTTTTGGAAGACTTTCAAAAACTTCCTACATCAACACAGTTCCCGTTTAATGAATTCTGTTTGCTTAATATAGTAACAACATTATTATTTATTTGTTTACATATATGCTTCCTCCACTGCTGGACACTTGCTTTATTAATGTTGATCTATATGAATCATCAGTACAAATACAGTGGGATTAGACTCATTAACATTTATGGAAGTAATTTTTGATGAAAAAATTTTCATGCTACCCGACTTCAAACTATACTACAAGGCTGCAGTAACCAAAACAACATGGTACTGATTCAAAAACAGATATATAGACCAATGGAACAGAACAGCGGCCTCAGTAATAATGCCACACATCTACAACCATCTGATCTTTGACAAACCTAACAAAAACAAACAACAGGGAAAGGATTCCCTATTTAACAAATGGTGTTGGGAAAACTGGCTAGCCATATGTGGAAAACTGAAACTGGGCCCCTTCCTTACACTTTATACAAAAATTAACTCAAATTGGATTAAAGACTTAAACGTAAGACCTAAAACCATAAACACCCTAGAAGAAAACCTAGGCAATACCTTTCAGGACATAGGCATGGACAAATATTTCATGACTAAAACACCAAAAGCAATGGCAACTGAAGCCAAAATGACAAATGCGATCTAATTAAAGAGCTTCTGCACAGCAAAAAAAACTATCATCAGAGTGAATAGGCAACCTACAGATTAGGAGAAAATTTTTGCAATCTATCCATCTGACATACAGCTAATATATCCAGAATCCACAAAGAACATAAATTTACAAGAATAAAACAACCCCATCAAAAAGTGGGCAAAGGATATGAACAGACACTTCGCCCCATCAAAAAGTGGGTGAAGGATATGAACAGAAAGAAGACATTTATGCAGCCAACAAACATGAAAAAAGCTCATCATCACTGGTCATTAGAGAAATGCAAATCAAAACCACAATGAGATGCCATCTCATGCCAGTTAGAATGCTGATCATTAAAAATTCAGGAAACAATAGATACTGGAGAGGATGTGGAGAAATAGGAACACTTTTACACTGTTGGTGGGACTGTAAACTAGTTCAACCATTGTGGAAGACAGTGTGACGATTCCTCAAGGATCTAGAACCAGAAATACCATTTGACCCAGCCATCCCATTACTGGGTATATACGCAAAGGATTATAAATTATTCTGCTATACAGACACATGCACATGTATGTTTATTTCAGCACTGTTCACAATAGCAAAGTCTCAGAACCAACCCAAGTGCCCATCAATAATACACTGGATCAAGAAAATGTGGCACATATACACTATGGAATACTATGAAGCCATAAAAAAGGATGAGTTCATGTCCTTTGCAAGGACGTGGATGACATGGGAAACCATCATTCTCAGCAACCTAACACAGGAACAGAAAACCAAACACCATATGTTCTCACTCATAAGTGGGAGTTGATCAATGAGAACACATGGACACACGGAGGGGAACATCACACACCAGGGCCTGTCAGGGTGTGGGGGGATAGGGGAGGGATAACATTAGGAGAAATACCTAATGTAGATGATGGGTTGATGGGTGGAGCAAACCACCGTGGCACGTGTATACCTATGTAACAAACGTGCACGTTATGAATATGTATCCCAGAACTTAAAGTATATGTGTGTGTGTATATATATATCCCTAAAGACTCTAAGAAAGAAACCTGTTAGAACTAATAAATGAATTCAGGAAAGTAGTAGGATACAAAAATCAGTTTTAAAAAGTTTTATTTTAAATTATTTTTGTAAAATTGGTGAAATTTGAAAGCAGACTTGTTATTAGTTTAGAAGCCTGAAAAATGTTGGAAGAGGAGGAAAATAACATTTTTAAAAAATTTAATGTGTCCACCATCACAAAGGCATCCTACTAAATTAATCAAAGTCATCTATAAGGAGATTGATGGGGTGGGGGATAGTAAATAAAAGGCGAGTATCCAGAATTGGAAATGGAGTCATTATCGATTAGGGAAACAAAGCAAGTAAATAGATGCAATATAAAAAATAATCATTTGTAAAATGGTAACAGTTAGAGTAAGGACATAGAAAAGGAAACAGTGGAGGAGATGATAAAAGGGTTAGATTAATACAAACAAATTACAGTTTTATGGAATCTTGAAGAGGAAATGACTTCTGAACAAATTGATCTTCAGTGTAGCTAATCAATAAGGATGTGGATTAGGCTAAATTATCTGAAATTCTTCATCTCATAATGTCTAATTACTGCTAATGTACTCTTAAATGTGGAATTTTGGTAAGATCAGACTGTGGTTATTTTGAAGATTCTCAGACTCTCTGTCCTGAGTCATCAAGGTTGCCTTCTCCCTAGAGTCAGTTTGCTCCACTTATAGCCTTAGTACAAATCTCCAGGATGTTTTGAAAGGGGAGACTTTAATACTATGTAGCCTAATACTCTGGTACTTAACATTGAAGTTATTGTTGCCTCTCTTTTTTGAGTTTGCTTTTGCTTCTCTTATTTCCCTATTTCAAGTTTTTTTGAAATCATGTATCAGAATT
Source organism: Homo sapiens (assembly GCF_000001405.40). NCBI lineage: Eukaryota > Metazoa > Chordata > Mammalia > Primates > Hominidae > Homo > Homo sapiens. The sequence goes on along the minus strand of NC_000003.12, from coordinate 103,929,307 downwards.
TCAAAAGGAATCCGCCTGTCTTTCTCATGAAATTATTGTAGAACAGATGAAAACATGGGAGAAGTGAATGAATGACAGTTTATCTCATTGGATTTGAATCCAAAATTATCATGAGAAAATCTCCTAGATGCCTTTTGAAATTCTGATGCACTCTATCAACAAGCTTTGGCATGACTTGTTCTTCGTGAACCATGCTGGTTCCAGATGATTAGTCTTTCTGTTTCTCAGTGTTCTTTAAATATGCTTCGGAAAATATGTCCTAGAAATTTACTGGGACTCATTTCAGATTTCTTAGAAGTTTCAGAAATCAATTTTTTTTTCATGTGTTTCTGCCTTTAGACTTCTGTCCCCCCCTCGCTCTCATAGATTTATAATATTAATTTAATTACATGCCACACCTTATTATTCTGAAGTCATGTAAGCCTGGTTTCTCAGAAAAGTCGTTTGTAGCTATGTTTCTGTCGTAGATCTTATTATTGTTCAAAACGTAATCATATGCCACCCCTACACGAGGCAAATATATTCTCACCCCTTGCCATGGTCCCTGTTAGTCTTTTTGTTTGAGGGATGTAATTCTTATTTCATTGTCTTGGATAGTTACTTACTTTTTGCAATGCAGCATGAGAGAAAGTAATATATGGTAATTTTGAGCAAAGGTTTCGAGTCATTACTTATTTCTACCAGCTCTCTTGCTCTTTTCCTCTGCCATAAGAATGTCATGTCCAAGATAGGGACAATACTCTCAACCTTGATTGCAGAATAAGAATACATGTGGAGAAGGGTCACAACAGTCAACCACAGATGTTCACATAATATTGTAATGTGGGTGAGAAATGTATGTTTGCTGCTATAAGCTACTAATGTTTTGGGCATGTGTGTTATAATACCAAAGAAGAAGAAGATTTCTACCATCAAAATGTATCTTTCAAAACTATGTGAGTTCTGATTTTGGTCATTGAAAGAATAAACACTTATTCTTTGTATCTGATTATTAGGCCCCGCAAACCTCTTATTTGGTGATTTTTTTTTAGGTATTTTAGGCATATATGTATATGTTGAAGAGAAACCTAAAAAGAAATAATAGTTGAAAAAAGATAATAATGTTCCAGGAGTTGAAAGAACCCCAAAGATGGAAGTAAATATGGGCAAAAAGTAGTGATTGAATAGTGATTGAAGGAGAGAATGGCCTAGAATTAGTGTGAAGAGGAGGTGATGATGTCATCAATCGGCCCCATGAAAGATCTTGGAAAATGTTCTGAGAGCCTTCAGAAGTATTTGATATAATTTAAGCAAGAGAGTAATATAAAAATATTCTAAAGCTTGTGTGGTGAATAAAATAAAAAGAAACACAGTGGGTACAAGAAAAATGATGATACTGCAGGTGTGGTTAAGAATTCACCTATATCAGTATGAGTATACAAAACATTTTGTATCCTTATGAAGGCATTAATTTCATGCACACATGCTCCACCTTCATGACCTGATTACCTTTCAAAGGATACACTGTGCAAATATCAACACATTGGGATTAAGGGCTTGATGTATGGATTTGGGGTTGGGGGCACAAACATTGTCAATTGCACACCTTTTTATTTTGTTTTTTGATCCATCTACTGCCACTGATAGGTTTATAAGGCCACTGTGACAAAATTTCAGAGACAGGATTGTTTTATGATATTGTTATCAAATGGCAATATGCAATTCTCTCTACCACTGTTTGTGTAGTCCTACCTGGGAATCAAGTTTTGAGAACATTTTCAAAGATATAGGATATAAGATTCATTAAATTCTTATATCCTATTCACAAAAAGAAAGAACTTTTTTTTTTCTAAACAATTGGGTTTCTAAAAAAACCCCACCTTTGGGGTGCTTATAATTCCTAGGACATTATCTTGTTATCAATTTTATAATCCATAGATTATAAAAATATATATGACTCTTCTGGACCCTACCTTTAAAGCTGCCAACAACTCCGAGAGTACTGCAGGCCTCCATCGGCAACTCCTGCAAGTGTAACACCAAGGAGCGTGTCCGGCTCATGAAGGTCTTTCAGTCAACATATTCAAAGTGTGAGCACAGGCTTTCAATGTGGAAGGAGCATGGTCTGATCCGCGGAGGAATGTCTCCTGGAGGAGGAAAAACATGCTGATCCCCGTTTCCATGGGCAGCGCCCTGACAGACCTGATCCTCATTGTCTTCATTGTCCACCTCATCTGCTGGAAGTGGAGTCTCGCTGGCTACCACGGGATCCAGCTGCACACGCATGGTCGCAGACACAGCAGTTTCAGGGGCCTCTGTTCATTTCTCTGAGCTTAGGGTCCTGTTGAGGGCCAGGCACAATTTCCCCCAAAAGTTTCTCAAACCAGCTTCACCAAATGTGATGTTCATCTTGCAGCATTTACTATGCACAACAGAGTAGCTATTGAAATAATGGTGTTAATTTTGCTAACCGGTTAAACATTAATATTACCAAAGTGAGCTCTAAGGGAGGGTAGGAGTGTTTCCCTCAATTGGCACCGGCTCCGCTATCATTTAACATTCTGGTGTTCGGTTTCTTCATTCTTTGCTGCACTCAGATTTAAGCCTTACAAAGGGAAAGTCTCCAGTCTTCACACTTAGAACTCATGAAGGCTGGCTCATTGTTTGCTGACATGCTTAAGAAATTACAAATAGTAGAGGAGGAAAATCTTGAGATAGAAGGACTTAAAAGAGGAACAGCTGGAGTGTTTCACATAAGCTTTAAAAGTGAGGACAGATCTGGCCACATGTGGCTGGCCGTCAGCCTTCCAGAGAAGGCACTCAGTGGCATGTCCTTGGGTATTTTTGGTGCTCTGCCTCTCAAGGGCTGGCAATTTTTTAATACAAAAATGAGTGGGGTTTTTTTGTTTGTTTGTTTTTTGACGAAGTCTTGCTCTGTCGCCCAGGCTGGAGTGCAATGGCGCGATCTCGGCTCACTGCAAGTTCCGTCTCCGGGGTTCACGGTTCACGCCATTCTCCTGCCTCAGCCTGTAGCTGGGACTACAGGCGCCCGCCACCACGCCCAGCTGATTTTTTGTTGTTGTTGTTGTATTTTTAGTAGAGACTGGGTTTCAGATTCTCAGTCATCTGTTTGAAATTCAGGGTGATTCTGTTTCTGCACTGTGTACAATAATAGATAGATTCACTTTACTGATGTGTCCACGGTGGCTTGGAGGCATTGTACACAGGACCAGCTCATGTAACGTATAGCTGTAACAATGCTACTACAAAAAATATATGTTATCATTATCACTTTACATTTACTAATAAGAGCCAATTTCTAGCATCCATTGTGCCAATTAACAAACACATTTTGACATTCTTCATGATAACTAATAAAACCACTTCTTATTCTCTAGATATGGCTAATGGCACTTGCTGTGGCCTTGTAGCTCTATTTGGGGTGTAGCTTTGCTGATATCACACCAATTTGCAATTACTGGAGAGTTATTTCTGATTTAGGAAAAGGAACTGTGAAAGATTGAGCAGTCATCTTAATTCACACAAAAGTTACATTTTTCCTGCTTACATATTTGAAGACAAATTACAGTTCTATCACATATCTAGGAAAGAAATGACAAGACCTAAAGTAGAGTGGTGGCATTTGAGGTAGAGGGATTTGAGATTTTAATATACAATTTTCTAAGAATTAAAATACACTGATGTTCTCAACTGAATGTCTCCAAAAAGTCATATTTTGAAATTCTAACCACTAATGTGATGGCATTAGGAGGTGGACCCTTTGATATGTAACTAGATTATGGGAGTGGAGCCCTCATTAATAGGATTAGTGCACTTAGGATAAGAAATGAGAACTTGCGTCCTCTCTGCTCACCACCTACCTTGTGAGGATAGAAAAAGAAGACTATAAACCAGGAAGAGGGCCCTCACCCGACATTGGATTTGCTGCAGCTTTAATCTGGAATTCTGTACCCTCCATAACTGTCAGAAATAAATGTTTGTGGTTTAAGCCACCCAGTCTATGGTAGTTTGTTATAGAAGCTGGAATTGACTAAAACAAATTAACCTGGAGAAGTAGATAGTTATGGGTGGTGATAAAGAAAAGATTGTAAAGCAAAACTGTGAGTTCAAGTAACTCATAAGAGAAAATCTGATTCATTATTTAATTCCTTCTGAGGGTTCATTATGAGGCCAACGTGGAATAATTGGTAAAATATGAAGAGTTAAATAAGATGAGGGTGGATCATAACCTGTGGAAGTTCACTAGTCTTCTTAATCCAAAATGTATTTCCTACCAGGATTGTCAAACTTTCTCTCACAGCCCCTTTTGTCAATCTAAGAGTAATACATACAGATATTGAAATATACTCTCAAAATTCTACATGTAATAACATTTTTCTGTATTGAGTTTTGTATGGGTAATCTTCTATTGGGGGATAATGTTACATATTACTTCATTTCTTAAGTCCCTTGATTTTTTTTTTTCAAGTTAAACGCTCTGAATTGAGTCTGTCTTTTTGAGCTCTTATCAATGACCTCATTGTTTCTAAGATGCTGATTTATGTGGTTTAAAAAGGAAAATGGAGAGAAACCAAGAGACATAAATAAAATATGTCAGTATTAGATGCTATAAAGATTTTATTGCCACTTGTTTGAGAGGAGGCCACATAAAAACAAGGTATTATACCAATTGCACAGACATAAATCTTTATAGTAGAGTGCATGCATAAACTCTCAAGAAAAAAACATGTATACATTTGTATATATATGTATATGCATAAATATATACATATAGATTAAAATATCATTGTAATATTTCAATTTTACTACTTTAAAGAAATTCTTTATTTTATTTTTCTTTTTTTTGAGGCAAAGTCTTGCTCTTTCACCCTGGCTGGAGTGCAGTGGCATGATCTTGGCTCACTGCAACCTCCATCTCCCAGGTTCAAGTGATTCTCATGTCTCAGCCTCCCGAATAGCTGGGATTACAGCCATGTGCCACCACACCTGACTATTCTTTTTTTATTTTTAGTAGAGACAGGGTTTCACCATGTTGGCCAGGCTGGTCTTGAATTCCTAACCTCAGGTGATCTACCCACCTTGACATCCCAAAGGGCTGGGATTACAGGCATGAGCCACTGTGCCAGGCCAAGAAATTCTATTTTTATTCTCAAATTTACTGTTTTGTTTTATTAAGAATTTTTATTTTATTAAATTATTACATTTTATTTAAATTCTCCATTAAAATAATCATCTATATTGTCAATTAATATCATTTAACATGCAATATATATGACACTCCAAAACCTTTTCCAGAAATAATTTTGAAATTTTTATTTGCATTTACTACTAAAATACACAGCACATTGTTTTAAATCCCACATGACTAAACTCTCCTAACTCTGTAATTTGTGATTATGTATTGGCTTAAGAAGCACAAGAAAGATACAGTGTGGCTGAATAAAGTCTTATTGATTTTTAAACATGTAAAAAGCTGCAGAATTACAAGAAATTCCACTCATACCTCATCTCGGGTCGAACATTGACTGTGTAAAGCTACAATCCTTAAATGTAGATGGAGTTTATCAGCTACAAATGATACTTTTTAATGAGTTAGGATTTGTGGTCTGGCTCATGGGTCCTAGGGAAGGGAATGTAAATCTTATATAAATGAATAAAACAGGAAATGTCATTGATTCAAAATAAGCCACAGGTAATTCACTATAATCAATTTTCAAAACACTATATTTTGTTATTTTAGACACATACTTGGTTGTTTTCTGGATTGGTGAAAATGTACAACTATAAGATGAAAAAATTATCAATATTGTTTGGCCTAAGTCTGTAGTTGCATTGAGGCTTTGTTTTAGATGATGGAATTAGAATTAAAATGGATTTTTAATTTTGTAAAAAACATTAGGAGCAGATTATCTGTGGCACTGGAATTTTGGACAGTTTTAAATCTGTGAATTCCGTGAGAATATATACCTTATCTTATTTATGTTTATTTTCTCAAGACCTAACGTTGTAAATGAATATTCAAATTTTAAAAAAATCAAAAGCCAGTGAGTTTTATAGGTCTTTATTCTTTTAAAGTGTGCATTCACATTTATAGTACTATCTTTTATTTCCCTCATCACTAAGAAAAAAAAGTGAAGCTTTACTCAAAATGTACTGATTTCTTTTCTGTTTGTTACATATTAATCCTATTTCTTGTTCTCTCTCTTTTTTCTTTTACCACAGATAGAACTTCTTTTTACTTTTTGTTTCTCCCTGATTTTATCTGAAACGTAGACTTGATAACTATCCTTAAAAATATATGTTTCAAGACTCATTATATGGTCTTTTATATTCTATTGGTGCAGAAAATATCAGTTATATATATATATATATATTTTTTTTTTTTTTTTTTTTTTTTTTTGAGACAGAGTTTCACTCTCGGCTCACTGCAACCTCCCCCTCCCGAGTTCAAGCAATTCTCCTGCCTCAGCCTCCCTAGTAGCTGGGATTACAGGCATGTGTCACCACACCTGGCTAATTTTGCATTTTTAGTAGAGACGGGGTTTCTCCATGTTGGTCAGGCTGGTCTCGAACTCCTGACCTCAGGTGATCTGCCCGCCTCGGCCTCCCAAAGTGCTGGGATTACAGGCATGAGCCACCGTGCCCGGTCCATTTATAAATTATTATTCCTAATAATTCTATAGATTGACTGGATGGTTCCACTTCATGTGGTCTTGGGTGAGCTACTGAAATAACTGAAGGGTCCGAATCATCTTCTCACATGGCTAGCTATGTTTGGGCTGGCCACCACTCGGGAATTTACATAGGGTATAAGCCTTGGGTTGTTTTTCATGGAGACCTCTTTAATAGTTGCATAGGCATTATTTTAACATGGGTTTCAAGGAGTATTCTAAGAGAAACTGCCTTCAAGTGCAAGTGCTTATTGAGTCTGCCTACATCATACTAACATTCCACTGATCAAAGTTAATCATATGTCAAGGCTAGAATCAATGTGGGGGGTGGGGGATGTGAATAATAGAGTGTGGTTCATTGAGGTACCCAAAATCACAGTCTATCACAGTCCAGGATTTGGAGATAGAAGTTTTGTCAACTCAGAATTACAGCACCCTTAATAGTTTGAATTCAACAGCTGAGAAAAATGATTTAGAGGCATACAAATAAAAATAATTTGGATAATTTTATCATATTGAGATATGTTATGAGTTCTCCGTTCAATGTATACTTCATAAAGAAAATGCTGTGGAAAAGCCACAATATTAGGTCAATATATCTTATACCAAATATCCTTCAGAGAGGAAAATGCTATTCACTTTTCAATTATTAATTTATACATTTAAGAAAAGGGAAAAAAGAAACAACATTTTTGAGTATCTACTGTGAGCTGTATACCTCATTAAGATCGTATCATTTAACTTTCATGGCATTCATGGGAAGAAAGTATTCATTTCTTAATTTTATTGAGAGAAAATTAAGACTCAGAGAAGAGTAAATATCATATTGTTTAAAAATAGTAGACAATAGACCAAGGACAAATCCTTTCTGTGTTTAAAACCTATGCTTTTGCTACTATGCCTTGTTGCCAAAGAGAAGAAAGTGAATTAGTTGAACTTTCAAAAGATCAAGAATGTGAAATATAAGTGAACGTGGTGACATTCTGGGAGGTTGCCTGCTTGTGTCTATCAAATCCAGCTCTTTCTTACAGAAGCCTGTTTGCTCAGGTTTGCCTTCACCAGTTTTACTTTCTAAATAACCTCAGGTGACAATAGTATAGGTACTAAAAAGACATGAGGTAATTTATGCCCAAACTAATTTCTATAAATAGAGCTAAAACATGCTTTTTTTTTTTATAAGTTTTCTTAATTATGCCTATTTGGGAGTCTGGAATTGACAGATGTAATATCTTGTAGAAGTTTTTAAATACTTGCTATAGCAAATTCAGAATAAGATAAAAAAATGAAGTAGGATAAAATGAAGAAAAAGCAAAAGAATAAACCGAAGAAGAATATAATTAAGACTCCAACTCATATCCCATATGGAGGACCTTCAGATGTTATATGTTATATATAATATATATTATATATATTTTATATTACATATATTAAATATATATGTACACACACACAATTTTATATATATATACATGCACACAATTATATATATATACACACACACAATTATATATATATACACACACACAATTATATATATTATATATAATATATATAATTTTTACTTTTATTTTAGATTCACGGGTACAGGTACAGGTTTGTTACATGAGTATATTGTGTGACACTCAGGTTTGGAGTACAAATGATCCCGTCACCCAGGTAGTAAGCATAGTACCCAATAGTTAGTTTTTCAGGCCTTGCTCCCCTGCCTCTCTCCCCACCCTAGTAATCCCTGGTGTCTGTTGTCACTATTTTGATGTCCATGTGTACCCAATGCTTAGCTCCTACTTATAAGTGGGAACATGTGCTATTTGGTTTCCATTCCTGTGAATTGCTTAGAACAGCTGCATCCATGTTGATACAAAGAACACAATTTTGTTCTTTTTACGGCTGCATAGTATTCCACGGTGTATATGTACTACATTTTCTTTATTGAATCCCCCATTCATAGATATCTAGGTTGACTTCACATCTTTGCTATTGTGAATGATGTCGTTATGAATATATGAATTAATGTGTCTTTTTGGTAGAACAATTTATTTTCCTTTGGGTATAAACCAAATAATGGGTTTGCTGAGTTGAATGGCAGTTATGTTTTAAGTTCTTTGGGAAGTCTCCAAACTGCTTTCCACAGTGGCTACCCACCAGCAGAGTATAAGCATTCCGTTTTTCTGCCACTTCATCAGTATCTTGTGTTTTTTGACTTTTTAATAATAGCCTTTCTGAACTGGTTTGAGATGGTGTCTCATTGTGGTTTTGATTTGCATTTTTCTGATGATTGGTGATGTTGAGCATTTTTTCATATATTTATTGGCTGTTGTATGCCTTCTTTCAAAAGTGCCTGTTCATGTCTTTTGCTCACTTTTTAATTTTTTTTTTGCTTGTTGAATTCAGATACTACTTCTAAATCAAACACACGAATTTCATTTATATGAAGTAACAATATCTGTTTATCATATGTATTTTGAGTTATTAAAAATTCAAACTTTAAATGAACTCTGAGTGCTCTATCTCTTCTAAACCTTAGAAGCAGCATTTCATACTTCAAAAAAAAACATGGGGAAAAACTCATGTGGAAGTATCTAATTACGACTTTCAGTATGTTGACTTTCAAGAAGCTATTCCTCATTAAGGAATAGACGTAAAAGCTCAAGTAAACTAAAACCTCATACTAAAATCTCCAGTAGTGAAATAACACCAGAGCTTAAATATAATTGGTCTCTGATTGATGTAGTTTGGCCACATTCCAGATTATTAGAGAGAAATTCCATTGGCTTGAAAGTTGGAATAAGTATCTCTGAATAGGATTGAAAAAAAGTTTTTCTTTAAGATATTTTAAATGTGAAAACAAATTCTGTTGATTAGTTCTCTGAATTGAATTCTATTCCATGCACTTGGTAGTTTCCTAAGAGAAATATGATGGTCCCATTCTTATAGTATTGTTTAATTCTCCCAATTAGTTACTCTCTGTTAAAAAAGGAAAAAGGAAAGAATGCAGCGAGAGTTATTAAACAGAAAATGTGGATTTTATGCATTCCCCGGATTTTTGTCCTGGTTGCATTAATGCACGCTAAGATGAAACCATTTATTTGCATAGGGTTAGATTTATACTGCTCTCTGCTGTCTAAATAAAGTAACACCAATATTTTGACTATGTAATTTTAGGAATTTAAAACCTCTAGGTAGTCTTTCCTTTTTTATTTTTATATTGGGAGAGGATAAAATATCAGTATGAGTGCTAGAAATATAGTGTAACCTTAAATATGACTGGATGAAATATGTTTGAATATAAAAATTGTTCTTGGCAAGCTCAATAAAATGTACTAGAAAAACCAATAGAGATGTATAAGAAGCAAATCAGAAAAACTTTCTATATTAATAACCATAAGCTTGGTTTATTTACAGAAGTCTGCAAGAGCATCTAGGAATAATAAAAAAGTAGAACATGAAGGATAATAGGAGGCAAAGCCCTAAAAAGGATGTTTACCTCCTAATATATGTGAGAAACAACTTTCAGCTTGTGGGCAGGACTAGATTGTCACTAGATTTTGAAAGTGTTTGTAAGAAGAGATCTTTTTTCTAGACCAGAGTAATTTATACGTGACTGAGTGGCTATAAGTAGGGTGTTTTCTGTCCTACGCTAAACTGCAAGGCTTCAAAAATCTTAATGTTCTTTAAAAAGAGAAAAAGAAAGTATACTTTAGAAATGTCAATAGGTACTTGAAAAAGACTTGGAATGTTGAAATTTAGAAAAGCAGACATCCGTTCTCTTTTTCCTGTTAGGGGCATTAGACTCAATTAGCTATCTTACTTTAAAAGAGCAAATTCCAGGTGTCACATTGAGCTGCTACAACCAGTAGCTTTCCTGAAAATAAGTCTGGCTCTGCCACTAACAGGAAAGCTACAATGTGAAGAGGTATACATAAGATGGCACTCAATCTCACTTCATACATTATAAAAGAATCAAGCTATATGATAGCTGATAAAGAAATGCATGCTCATTATCAAGTTTCTCCCCTGAGGGAAGTGAATAGATTCAGTAAACCTCCTGCCTCTACAAGGGTCCCAAGAGTACATTATGGGCACTTAGAGGGAATAGCAGATGGTTGAAAGCTATATTTCTTTTTAAAGTGGGTTTCTATGGACTCTAAGCCATGTGAGTTTTATAACAGAAGTAGTGAAGTTGTTAAACAATTTACTACCACTACTAGTAAATATGGCACAGTTTATCATACTTTTACTGACTGCATGGCATTGAATATCCCTAAAAGGAAGTAAAAAATTATTTATAGTGATCTTGAAGTTTTCCGCTTCCATTTTGTGAATTAAAAGTCAGAAATTTACTTATGGATTACACTGCTTCAAATTTTCAAGTTCTGTACTTAATGTATAAAAAAAGTATATATAGCATAGTCCTGGTAACTGAAAATAATTATTATGATGAAGAAAAAATACATATACAGTATTCATTATATCCCATGGTGAATGAGAAAATAAATTTCTCTTTTGTACTTTCAAAGTGGAACTGAGCTGGGTTTAAAAATTAAATAAATGAGTAGAATGGAGGTTATAATTGAATGTATATCTTATGTGTAAAATTATTGATATTTGACCCCTGACATCTAAGCTTATTCTTGCTCTCACATTCTCATAGAATATTCATCCTGGGATGTAATTAAATTCTAATGCATTTTCAATTTGCATCTGTCATGGCAGAGGCAGTATGTCTTTTCCACATATTTATGGACAAATTGTAGGATAGTGCATTAATAGTATTAGTAAATATCAACTGTGATGCTAACTCTACAAAGCCCTCTCCAGGTGATAAACTGAAACAAGTTTAATCAAAAGTATATTCTAAAGTAGAGATTTACAATGGTTACAAATTGAAATCTGAAGAAGCAGATGATTTACCAACCGAGATATTATATTAAATGTACGACTTCAATGTATTTAGATGGAGTTATATAATACTTTGTTTCTTCAAATCTCTCACCTGATGCCAATGTTTCTTTTAAATTTTGCAGTATTTCAAAGTAAAATAAGAATGAAATAATGGGAAAGGAAGAAATTTGGAGTAGGTATCTCTATCTCCCTGTATCTATGCTAGATTTATTCCATTGCTATATTTTAGTTTATTATAAAATCCATGGATAATATGAGGGATTCATCAAGCATTGCTCACATTCTATTCTGATGGTTCCTTGAAGGCAGTCTGCTCTTCTGTCAAAAATGATAACATACGTTTTAGTTAACCACAAAGAATAAGCTTGGAAAACAGATTGCTGTAAATAATCTGTGGCCTCGATAAAATCTATTTAATTGTGTCAAAGTATAATTTGTAAGAGTAAAAGCAAAAAAAGGCTCTTCAACTAGTGCACAGATTTAGTTTCTAATCTTATTCTCCATTAAAGGAAAATGATTGATTTGGGGACTGGGAGAGGGGTAATATGTAAGATGAGTCTGGAGCATCTTGTACCAGAGAATAAGAAAGTGCACACACACACACACACACATGCACACACAGTATGTCAAAGGGAGCAAACTGAAAAGTCTCCCAATGGCTAAGTTAGAAGAATTTGAGCAGAAAAATAAATAAAGTAATATTAGATTTTACCTCAAGGTATTAAATAAATATTCATAACTCCATTGGAATATAAATAAGTGATTGAATTAATAAACAATGGGAGAGAGCTAACAAATTCCTGTGCAAAAGAATTCCAAATAATTTTAATAGATACTTTCCATGAAAAAGGTGGAGAATAACTTCCTACTATTTACATGTGGTGTGCACATTGTCCCAAAAATACAGTATGACGGGGTATGGGAGTAACTATACAGGGGAGAAAACTGACAGACTCCCTCAGCCAAGTGATTAAGGTTTACATCAATAATAGTAAGGTAGGTTGATAGAATTTCCCTTTGATATGATGTGATGAGAATTTCACTTTACCTCAGTAGTCTTTCCGGCAAAAACCCATAACCCCAGTGTAATTATGAGAGAAATAAACATAACAGTTGTGGGATATTCTACAAAATATCTGACTAGTATCCCTCAAAACTGCCGAGTTCATTACAATCAAGAAGAGTTAGGGAAATGGTCACAGTTTAGAGGTGCATAAAATATATGATAATTAAATGTAATATATATCCTGGATGAAATCTTGAAATGGGAAAAGAGCATTAAGGAAAAAATAAGCAAATCTGAATGAAGTGTGAATTCTAGTTAATATTAATGTTTCAGAACTGCTTCATTAGTTGTGACAAATGTACCATACTAATGTAAGATTTTAACAAGGGGAAGTGGGTGAGAGGTATATCAGAATTTTCTGTTCTATCTCCCTGACTTTTTTGTAAATCAAAAACTACTAGAAAGTGTTAAGAAATGACTTTTAAAAGCATAAGTTGAGATTTTTGTGTCAGACTGAATTTGCTCATTTAAGAGAGATCCAGCAAGGTAGAATGGCTGGTTCAAAGAGAAAGATGAAAGTATTTACAGTCACTGAAAACTAAATTTGAATAGGATTACTAATTTAGGTAAAAACTGGTGTATGTGCTACAAAACAATAACACTATAAACTTTGGAGTTATTTCGTTCTCTATTTCATTTACACCTTTGCCAAATAAGTTTGGTCCAGGATTATTTGCATTGTTACTAGTTTTCTACAAGTTAACATCTTTCTTTACAGAGAGGCAAAAATATCCTAATCAGTGGAAAATAGCAAGCCAAACAGAGAGACACATCTAGATTCACATAAAAGATATGAAGTTAATATGAAGTGATTTCTTTGTCTATTTTCCTGTTTTGATAATTCTTCAAAGCACCTTAGTTGATTTGATTGCACAGACAGAAAAGATGTTACATCGTCAGTTTGTTGCCTATGATATCTTTATGTCTTACAACACATTTTTTGAAAGGCACAAATAAATTACTTCACCGTTTTTTAGATGTTTTTTCCTGAAATATGAGTTATCATGTTTCTTTTTAAACCTTTAAAAGAAGAGAAGAGTTATCCCAGAAACAAGAAATATGTGTTCTACCAATGAGTTCAGTGATAGCATAATAAAATCTAATGAAGAAATTAGAACATTCATTAACACTCTCTTCCTTTAAGCTTCTTCTTGAAATAAAAATGATTCCTCAAGAATACATAAATTTTCTATAAAAAGTATTATGTTTAGAAAACCCCAGTGTTAGCTGAGCAAACATTGGTGATTACTAGTTGGTTTGTGTTGAAGAATAGCATGCATAATTCTGTAGAACACAGATACTTAGATGCAACAAATCTCAGAAATACAGAATCAAAGACTGCTACAACTCTGTGTGGCCCAACAGAATAAACAAGTGATATGAAAAAGGAAAGGATAGAGCTAATTTGTTATATTTTAGAAATGTTTGGAGAATGCTGCCTGAGAGCAGACAAGGTCTGGACATAAGAAAACATTCCAAGGCTGAGTTCTTCAGTGAAGTTCTAAAAGTCCAAGTGCCTATTCCTAGTATAAAACTGTATGTCAGCTGTTTTGTGACAGATATGTATTGTCCAGGCAAAATTAAGTTTGTGTCTAATAGAGCCTGCAGATGTCTACTTGCAGGTGCAAATTGAGTTTCTAATTATACTCTTGGTGTGAAGTTCCAGTGGCTTCTTAGGCATTTAGTTGCACGTGGGTGCAATTTAGTTTCTTGTGCAGTTTTCAGGCCTGTTAAGTGATTGTAAGCTCAAAACTTAAACTTATTTTGAAGGATACTGTGACTAAAAGGTCAGCTGGAAAATCCAAGAAAACTTGGCCACTGTACTAGTTACTGGAGAAACAATTTGTAGATTACTGAATTTTTTAAAAAATTTGGCAGTATGTAGAAGAAAACACAATTAAAGCAATAAAGGGATTAAAAGAACCACAAACAATTACATAATTTTATTTATTGACAGGCATATAATTTCCTTTCATTTTTGCCATTCAATGTACATTTGTTATTGTTCGGGAAAATGAATGAGTTGGTGAAACCTAAGACCTATGTCACCACTTAGTTTTGCAAGTCAATTTTAGTAAAGGAATAAGTCAATCATTATTTTTTGTAAAGACTGATATATCTATTATGAGCACTGTAAATTGTATAGATGTGGTAAAATGAAAACTAACAAAATTATATGGATATTCTTAACAAAAAAATAGATTGCTATTATTTTTTCTATTTGCTAAGCGATTTGCCACTTTGGAGAAATTATTCAACATTTCTGTATGCCTCTCTTGGTAACTAGTTTAGACTGGGAAATCTTTGTGCACTCAAGATATAGTTTTGTTTTATTATTTGATTAATTAATAGGTAAACATATAGCCATTATTTCATAAACATATCTCTTTAACTTGTTCATACAACTTTGTGCAATAGGCACTTAGAAAAAATTCCATTGGCTCTTTTAGTGGGGATAGTAAATAAAGCTGTCATTACTAGTGTCGTGTATAAGGAGAAATCAGTTTGAGGTACAGGCAGGTCAGTATTAAAATGGAATAACTACCCTATGTATATGCAGTATACTATTGCTTTGTCATATTTAATTTTATTTGTTTAAATTTTGTTTTTCCTATAAATAATTCAAGGGAAAACTATTTGATTCTGAAATGTGTAAATCAATTAAATGATTGTCTCAGAGTATTTATGCATATTAGACTCACAAGAAAATTCCAGTCAATACTGAGAAACTATCAATTACCTCATTTTGACTACATTACAGAACAGTAGCTATTTGCTGGATGAGTATGAAATCAACAATACTCAGGTTTATACATACAAATTATAATATTATACCTACTGCAAGTAGCTTTCCAATTGTCTTCTGATGAGGCATGCTATGAAGTTTTCAGGGAAAATGATAATCTTTTATATAATATTTTATTAATATATAATTTTATTTTTTATATAATAAAAAGAAAAGGACTCTAAAGATAATTAACCCTTTAGAATGAAGGAAAAGATGGCTACTTTCTGTACCTTTCTGACCCATGCCAAATCTGACAAAGTAGGACTAATCATGCAAATGATAAAAATGCAAAGTAGTTATTTGTTTAAATTGCAAAACTTCTTTTTTTCCATGGTGAGCATGATTAGGTTTTGTTTAATTGATTCTTGTTTTCAGAGCATTTTCCACAAAATAAGCATGGCTGCCTGCCTGTTCCAACAGCATAATCTCACTTTCAAGCTTTTGTTTCATAGAGTGGGCACACAAAACTGTCTGAAGTGATTTAAAAAAATCTAACTCTCCATGGTTTTTATAGTCTAATATAAAAATTCTGTTATTCTTCCCTGTTATTATTGTTTCTTTATTTTTATTTCAGTATTTAGAAATCACTACCTTAGGATCTGTTCCTTAAAGTTATTTCCCTTGCACTTCCACTGACCTTCCAATCTGCAACTAAAATGTTGAATCTGGAATCAGAAAAACTCATAGGTATGTTGGGCATTTCATAGAATAACATGGTTCCTGACACATGATCAAACTCAAAAGTATTCCTCGAATTTGATTAGGATACAAAATCTAAACACTTGAGGTTCAAAAGTAGAATCTAAGTGTTGTCTGAAGCACGAATTATCTTTCTAAAACCAAGAAGTTAGTACACTCTTTCTTGAACTCCTCTGGTTATAAGTAATTGCTCTTTCTAATCGGCCTTTCATTGGATTAGTATATGCAGCTTCTAATTATCAGATATTTACTCTGATTCCTCATAACATGACTTGCTCAATACTTTAGAGTTATGGATTGTTAATCAAATATTATTTTTCATCCTGATTGAATACCATCCTCTTTTTTCTTATGAAAACTTCAGAGAAACTGAATAAGGTTTTCTTATTTAGGAAACAATTATTGAGCATATGTGACAAGTAGGCCTCATGGCTCTACTAGAAGCAGAGGATAAGGTGAGTCTTTGAACTCAAGCTTGCAGAATGTGGGTAAATCAAATAAGTAAATTGATGATTTTAGTATGACACAAGGTTGAAGGTGCCATGCTAATGAGTATGCCATAATCTAATAAACAAACGAAGTTGAGAAACTCACCTCAGGTTGACATTTTCACAAAAGGCTTTGAGAAGGTAAATATGTGAGAGGTCTTGAAGAACCAGAGTTGGTTGTTAGTTGAAAATGGGAAAATGATTAAGTTGTAATATGTAAAGATGGCATGGGCAAATTCATAGATCCATAAAGAACTCATTATGGGACATATGATTAATTCTGAATGGTTAGAGAAAGAGAGCTGCAGGAGAGGAGGCTGAACAGGAGGGCTGGGAAGGGATCCTGAAAGAGTATACTAGGATGAGGATTTGTTTTATTGTAAAAATTAAAAGTAGTAATTGAATAGTTTTAATAGTTCAATAGTTTAATAATTTTATTACTAGGATTTATAGATTCTGGTAATAACTGATGAAGGCCCACCAAAAAAGGTAGTAGAGTTCGGTAAACAGACAAACATACAAACAAAAACATATGTGATAACCTGGAAAATATTTAACAAATAGACTGAGGAAGACTTGAAATGCAACTGAAATTTGAATAAACAAAGTTAGGAGCCAAAACTAAGAGGCTTATTATTTCTGGTTTGGGTTACATGGGGAATGGTAATGTAATTCTATAAAGCATTACATGCAGAATTATATGTAGCAAAGACAAGAAGAGAAAATAGATAAGAGGTAATATGATGGACGAATTCAGTTTGATACATTTCTATCTGAAAGCCTGCTAGGTTATCTAATAAATAAGGAAAATTTCATATTTTAAGTAGCTTAAACAAAGATATAATAAGAAATCAAATGGTGCTTTTGAG
Source organism: Homo sapiens (assembly GCF_000001405.40). Lineage (NCBI taxonomy): Eukaryota > Metazoa > Chordata > Mammalia > Primates > Hominidae > Homo > Homo sapiens. The sequence goes on along the minus strand of NC_000003.12, from coordinate 103,911,824 downwards.
CTGAAGGGTAATATGACATAATTTGTTATGTGGGAAAAATACTTTCAAATAAGGAGTATAGGATTATCATGAAAAAGTTTAATTATTCTGAGTCAATGCAGTTTTTAAAATATGAATTAAAAAACATCTATGCAACTGGAACTCAGGTCTTTTTCATCACCTCTGCCTGTTCTCCCTGCACTAGCTCCAGACAGCTTCTCTCTTATTGTTCTCTTTGTACCCTGAGCATATTTTGCTATTCTAAATGTTTAGAATGCTCTCCTCTTCCTTATTCTTTATGCAGACCGTGTTTTTTTATGAGCACAACTCAAGTCCTATTATGTCTATAATAACTCAGAATTTATTTACACTGTCATTTGGGGGTTTTCTGTATAATCTGATTTTACCAATCAGGATTTTAAGCTATAGGGGCCATCTTAAATATCTTCCTATCTTCTTTAATGACTTCATAGGTATAAAAATCTAGTACCTTCCCAGTAAATACTTGCTGATTAACAGGAATCTTGGATGGATTGTCTAGAAATAAAAATTTAATGAATATAAAGGAAGGGGTCTTTCCCAAGATGAACTACTTTATCTCAATAATTTGATTGTAAATTGAGAGTACAGGTAAATAGCTATGAAATGAGGAAGACATTTTATTAATCATTTAGAAGACCATTACTTGGAATTTTAATGTTTTTGCTATAGACAAGAGAGAATCAATGCAAGTTCCAGAGAGACTGACAAGATAACAATAACAGGAACAAGAATAAACAGGACACCTCGATTTTTGTATCACAAGAGATATTCTCTTTCAAGAAGAGCACCAAAAAAAGATGTGTAAAGACTGGTGACATGCTCTCAGTGAGTGACTGCCCTACTTTCATAGCTTTGTATCACTCCATTCAGTATTGTCATAAGTAAGATGCGAAGTGAAGGCCCTAGTATCCTTTAATTACGGGGCAAGCTGCTGAATCTTTCTGTGGCTTGCCCAAGGTCACAAACCATTGAAAGAACAGAAAACCAACACTGGCCTTTTGTGCGGTTGTCACAAATAAATAAATAAACAAACAAATGACATTCTCCCCATCTATTCTTCGAATGGATCTCTATTTAGTAACATCTGGTAAAAAGCAAATTTTGTAATTGCATAAGCCAAATAATTAACAGCAATAAAAACGGCTTTTAAATTTCCTTTAAAAAATGTGATCCTAAAGGTAAAATCATTTTTGTCCAGGTTGTTCCTGAAACACATTTTTTATACTCCAAATTTTAAAATACTAAATATATGAAGATATAATAAAAACTCAGACTTGAAGCATAAATTGTAGAATTTACAAGAATATGTCACCAGCTTAAAGCAGAGTAACCAGATATCTCTTAAAATTTATGAATATGTTAATAATCAGTTTTAATTATTGATGCATATAAATACTAACCTGGAAAAATATAACTAGGATAAAATAATTGAAAGCCAGATAAACTTGGATTATAGCACACAACATAACAATGCATATTTAACATTTTAGGCTGTTGGTTTTATTGTCATGATCATTTCTATCATCATTCTAAAGGAAAGCATATAACACATTTATTATTTCACTATCTGTGTTCAAATCAGCCATAACTAATGACAGATTGGAAAGATTGCATGAGCTTGGTAAAGACAGAATTATTTAAGGAAGAAAATGTTTTACAAAATGCTACTTGAACAAAGTAAAATTGAAAACAATAATATTAATAGGTATAATTGTTATTTCTTTGTTACATAGAAACTTTGTCGATATGTGAGTTAGTATTTATATTTTCTTTGGACTACGTATATAAAGAATCAACACTGAGATAATTGTCACTTTTTAAAGGACAACATTTTAAGGTATTTATATTTGTCTATAGATTTGACATTTAATCAGAGAAAACCATAATGATTATCACAGATGAGAATTAAATGATATTAAATGAGAAAATCAGTAATGAAGGTTTGTGAAAGATCAGATTTTATTTGCAATGATTTCAATATGATTTCAGATGTGACAGAATGATTATATGAAGCTTGCTTCTTAGAATTTCCATTTCATATAATTTTACTGATGATTTAATTTATAGCCCAATTAGTCATTTTTTCAAATGCTATAAGGTGAGGCATGCCAGGAGAGTGCTTTTTATATACTCATCTGTCAAATACTGATTTTTTTTTCCATTTAACATTTAGCAATTTGTTAGGAATTTTCTGTCAAGTTAGAAATCTTCTTATATATCAAAATGCTGTGACAACATCAAAGCAATAGGAATTGTAAAAGTGGTTGGCTGATGATATGAAAGGGTGACATATTCTCCATAAAGAAAATTAGGCTTTGATGATTTTGTAAACATAAAAACCACTTAACATTGCAGAAACATATTTTCACAATAAATTCTCTTTTTTTTTTTTTTAGTGACGCAATTGTTTATAAAGTAAAAAATTAAATGCTTTATGTTCTTCATCATATACTGAGTTCATTTTTTTGAATTTTTTGTGTTTATAAACATTGAGGATATTTATCCTTGTTTTGAATCTTTCATAATTTGAGGAAAATTTGAATTAATTGATTTAAGTTTTAGATTTTCTTCTAGGTTTGGATTAGTGTTTTAGAAAAGTATTTGGTAGTGGTTTCTGGGAATAAAAGAAAAAAAAAGCATTCTTCTAAACTCCTTCAAACTCACTCACATTGAAGTTATCCAAAATATTTATAAAATCAACTTATATTTATTAATCAATATAATTTTATTGGATGGATATGATGAAGAATCCAAGTAGTCAGAATCTTAAGTGCTCTAGCTTCAGAGATGACAATGACATATTTTATAAAATGTTTTGTAGATATATTTGAAAGATCAGAGAATATTTGGATGTTTGGAGTAAAGAGAATGTATTTGATAGGGACAATGGTAAAGAAAGGCAATGGAATAAAACAATGAGTGGACAGCAAAAACACAAAAAAAAAAAAACAAAAAAAACCATAAACAATGTGTTTTGGCCAATAGTGAGCATAAAATATGTTTGGAACAGATATTAATAGTTCATGTAGGAGACTGATCAGAGGTAAAATAATTTGAGGACAGATTATGGTGGTCCCTGAAGGCTAAACTTTCTGTCTTTTCCTTTATCTAGAAGGGTGTCAAAGCTGTAGAAATTGAGGTCTAATAGAGATTGTTATATTTGGTAATTACGATAACATTGTTTACTTTTGTGAGAGTAGATAACATGGTGTGAGAGAAAAAATTAAGGGCAATGTAGGCAGAGATTAGATAGATGCAATCTTTGTGCTCTACTACTTGGAAGGTTTAGAAATGAAATACAAAAAAGTATAGCTGGGGCATAATAACATCAAGACAAGTACTAAGTAACTGCTTGTATTAACATTTTAATTTCAGGAGCTATAGAGGTGTGACCTAAATTATATTTTTAATGGTCAACAGTAACAATGTAGATACAAGTTGGAGTCACTCCATACTTTAATATCTAGAGAAGATAAGCTCATACCCAATACAATATCCTGTAACAAATACAGTGTAAATTTTCAGAAGATTTGTGTTCTTGTGTCACCATTGGGTCTGATATCCTGCTTCCATTGGTTTTAGACAAATGTATGGAAATCTCATCTTGAAACTGCTGCTTCTGCTTCTATCCCAGGACCTTCTTCTTTCTTACACAAAACAAAGTAGTTGTCTCTCCATATCTGTGAGTTCTGCATCTTTAGATTCAACAAACCGCATATCATAAATATTTGGGGAAAAAAAACGGATGGTTCTGTCTTTACCGAACATCTACAAACTTTTTTTTTTTTTTGAGGGGGGGTGGGTTGTTGTTCTCTAAATAATACAGCATAACAACTATATAGCATTTATATTGCTTTAGAAAATATAAATAATCTAGAGATGATTTAAAGTTATGGATTGATGTTCATAGGCTGCATGCAAACACCAAAATATTTAATATAAATAAGTCAAGCATTTATGGACTTTGGTATCTCCAGTAGTTAGGGGGATCTCAGACTCAGCCCGCATATATACCAAGGGCCAACTGTATTTGCTTACGGCATTTGTGCAAGCAGATCGTTGTCAGTCCATTTTGCAACCTATGGCTTGCAGCAACACAAATAACTTAAAATTGAATATTTCACATCCAAACTTCTGAAATGACAAAATTTGGGCATCAGTGTCTTCATATTTCTTTATCAGTCTGTCTCTTTACCTTTTATCTCTTTGACATTTCAAATATAAAAGAGAGAGAGAGAAAAAAGAAATAATTTTTCTAACATTTATTTTATTTGTTTAGAGAAGAACCCACCTCTCTTTCAGTTTTGACCTCTCCTATGAGTTCCCAGTCCCTGATCCAAGATCTATCTTTTTATACACAGATACTCTCTTTTATTAAACAAAAATAGTTCTTTCTAGGGGAACCTAATACCAGGGGAAATATTTGGTATAAAATTCTTAGAATAATTCTTCAAATCACCAATTTTAGTCAGCCCTTAATAGTAAATTACTCATTCTCTCTCCTGGATTTTCAAGTGCCAATTCTCACAACTAGAGGCACTTCAGTTGGACAAATATCACCCAAACCCCCTGTTTCCAAAGCCATTTAAACTTTTCATATTTAAGTGCAGTTATTAGTTTACATTCCATATTCCCTGAGTAGACTGAAAACTACTCAAGGTCAGGATACAAACATATTCATGTTGCAAGCATCAGTGTAAGGAGCATAATCGGATCAATAAATCAATAGTGAATGAGTGTACAAAGCATAACATGAAAGGGAAAGGAAGTGAGGAGTGATATAGTGACCCTCCTTTCATTAGAACATGGACTGAATGTGTCTGTCTTTCTATGCATTGTTTCTCATGCACTACAGGAAATGATTTCCATAAACACCCACAACATCTCTTGAATCTGGGGAATTTTATAGCTTGCCTGACTCAACAGTTCCATATCGCTCTCTGGTTCTAAAGTTTCTCTAGTTATCTAAATAATATCTTCTACTTTTCCCAAATTCCATCCTCTAATATGTTATTGGTCTTTTAAGAATAGATTGAAATATATTGTCATAATATACAATAGCTTGATTTGGGAAAATGGGAAACCAAAATTACAAGGAGGTAAATAATGTAAATTTAACCTGATACCCTTGACGAAGAGAAAGAGGAAAAGAGAATAATGTATGCAATGCCATTGACTTTACCTGACCCTTTATTAAATAAGCTTATCCCCCAGTATGTGAGATGGAATCTCTGGATCTCCTATTTTATCAGTTGTCATAGCTATCTTTTACCTCCATGACATCAGCATTTCTCCAAACTAAGTGCAATTATGGTGTTAATCCAGTGTTTATAAAAAGCACTTTTCTCTGGGGCATGTAACCCATGAATCACAGAATACAGTACAGATCATGGAGAGAAACCATCTGTGCAGACTGGCGTTTTTTATCTTGGTTATAAAAAGTTTGTGTTTATTATGCATAAAATGTTGAATAATTAAAAATGGATTTCAGATAAATATCTAAATATAAAGCAACAAAAACATTGGATTGCCAAATAAAGAAATAATGATTAGATACACTAAATAAAAAATTGTGTTGGTAAGAAACATGGACTCTGAGAGATTTTTGAGTATCATTTAAACTAAGTGCAATTTTTGCTTTATGTACTGAATTTCCAACAAAATCTCAGAGTAAACATAGTCATCCCTTGGTATCACAGAGGGATTAGTTCCAAGACCCCCATAGAAATACTAAAATTTGTGGATGCTCTACTCCCTTACATAAAGTAATATAGTATTTGCATATAACTTATATTTTTCATATACTTTAATTCATCTCTATATTTCTTATAATACCTAATACAATGTATATGATATATAAATAGTTGTTATAGTATGTTGCTTTAAAACTTGCGTTATACTTTATTGTTTTATTTTTCATTTTAATTTTTATTTATTTCTATTGTGATTGGATCCACCACTCAGAACCTGCAAATATGGAGAGCTGTTTACTGTTTCATGTATACTGTATACTGTTCCATTGCTTTAGATTTTTTGTTCTTTTCTAAAGTCAATCACTTTGTAGTTCTATGATAAAATATTTATCTGTGTTATGCTGTATATGGGTGTATGTGTGAGCATCTGAATGAATCAAAATCTCAAAGATTAAAACATTCAAAATCCTAAATTTATGAGTCAAAATCTAAACACTTAAAACAGAAATATCTAGACAAAATCATCTTCCTTTTGTTAAACGGTGATTTTTTTTATCAATACTCATGAAAACACTGATTTAGGGGATGCTTCAGAATTTGGCAGCAAGAAATAAGGGAGAAGCACGGTGATTTCTGAATTCTGATAAAATAAAATGGTGTTTTAAAGGAAAGCCAAGCTGTTTGAAGAGGAATAGTCCTGAAGCCTACAACTTTGCTTATGATGAGAAAGGAGGCAGTGACTGGACACAGCAACTACCTCATTACTGTACTGTAGCTCACGTACATAATAAAATTACTAGCAAAATGGTGTCCTTAGTAAGTTAAATACATTTTTAAGAGTGCCGAAGAGTACTTAGCACATATCTGATATCCTGTAATGAAATAAAAATGTGGCTTAAAAGGAAGATAATGGTAATGGACAGCCAGACAGTTTGATTTGCCTGGAGGTTTATGGACAGGAAGACAGGTTTTATCTTCCCTCATATACATCATTACTAGTTTCTGTTTATATTTTTTTCTCAGTCAGGATGTTAGTTTAATTTTAACATGCTGTTAAACCTTAACATTGACATTTAAAATTGAATCTGCCCTATTTCCCGTAAGAAGTTCTGATCTAGATATTGCCCTTCTTACTTTTCCTTTTTCTGTCACTGGTATGATTCTTCTCTGGTTGCCTAAACTCAAAATTCAAAACCATTTACTCTTCTTGTGTCCATTCTCATCCACATGTAATTTATCAGTAAGTCTGAAAAAGGTATACCCATTTTAAATTTTTGCCTCTTTTTCCGTATCTTACATAACTGTCCAATCTCAGTTAAGTTCTTCAGGATTATTGGCCAGACGCTCTTTCATATACTTACTGTGCAGAGACTTTCTTCATATTTCCTTCCAATTCATTCCTCAACTTAGGCTTGATGTGTATTTCTCAGTATTTTTATTATGTTGGTCTATAGCTGAAAACCTCTCTCCAATGATTGACATTTTGTTTTGTTTTGTTTTTTGAGAAGGAGTCTCACTCTGTCACCCAGGCTGGGGTGCAGTGGCTTGATCTCAGCTCACTGCAACCTCTGCCTCGCGGGTTCCAGCGATTCTCGTGCCTCAGCCTCCCCAGTAGCTGGAATTATAGGCACCCACCACCATGCCCAGCTAACTTTTGTGTTTTTAGTAGAGAGGGGGTTTCACCACATTGGCCAGGCTGGTCTCAAACTCCCATCCTTGGGTGATAACGCCCACCTCGGCCTCCCAAAGTGCTGGGGTTACAGGCGTGAGTCACCATACCCAGCCATGATTGACTATTTTATATAAAATTTGCTTTCAAGCCCCTTTGCAATATGTTTACCATTCTAATTTTTATCTCAACTATGTGTAAATTATCTTTCTTGTCACAAGTCAGTTTCCTAACCCACAATGCAATATGTATGTGGTTCTCAATGCCACACCTTAAATATACCTTTAGGTAAATGAAATTTAAGTATAATTTATAGAATAAATCTCTTAAATTATTACTATTTCAATTACTAGTGAAGAAGAGAGTATTCTTGATAATCATGCCCTTAACTGTTTAAAGTATATATTCAATGTTAGCCTTTATATTCTTAGACTAAAAATTTACTCATTTTCTTAAAATTTAATATTATTTTCAACAGGTTTAAATATTTTAGAATTTTGAAGCTATTATCATTTATTCAACAAATATATATCAATTACTTGCTATGTGCCAGGTACGTTATCAGACATTGTCCTAAGCATTGGCAATACAGACAGATAAGTCTAAATTCTTGAAGAAGGCAAAAGTAGGTAAGTAGTTAATCAAGAACACTTTGATAGAGATAGCTGTATAAAAAGGAGAAGAGTTGGCTATACAGATGGTCCCCAACTTATTTATTTATTTATTTATTTACTGTAAATGGTGCTAAAAGGATCTGCATTCAGTACAAACAGTGCTTTGAATTTTGAATTTTGATCTTCTCCTGGCCTAGTGATATGAAATACTCTATTGCAATGCTGGGTGGTGACAGCGGGCTGCAACTCCCAGTCAGCCACACAATTGTGAAGGTAAACAACTGAAAATCTGCAATGTACTGCATTCAATAAATTACATGGGATACTCAATACTTTATTATAAAATAGGCTTTGTGTTAGATAACTTTGCCCAACTGTAGGCTAATATAACTGTTCTGAATGTATTTGAGATAGTCTAGGCTAAGGTATGATGTTTGTAGGTTACTTGAATTAAATGCATTTTTGATATAGGATATTTTGATATGGTCAACTTATGATTGGTTAATTTACATGTAACCCCATTGCAAGCTGAGAAGCCTCTAGTAAAGAGCAAAAATGATGAGTAGACTGTTGGATATCTTGACTGAGCAGTCTATTATAATTGCTCCTAAAGAAAGACTGAGCTAAGATTTGAATGTCAACAAGAACCCAACCTCTTGAAAATCTGAGGAATAGCCATACCACACAAAAACAAAACACAAATACCTTCATGTGAAGTTTAAGACACAGATATGGCATGATCACATAGGCAGGGATTTATAAACCTTATAAAGAGTTTATAAGGAGTTTTTATTTTAGGTCCAGTTAACTGTAAATATATTCGAGTATTTTGAGTAATAAATCATTTTAACTTCTGTGTAGATAAAGAGATCATTTCAAACTTTTATTAATGTGTTATGCTAATTCACTGGCCTTCTTTCTGTTTTTGAATATGTGATACAGAGATAAAAAGAAACTCCAGGCCAGACATGGTGGCTCATTCCTGTAATCCCAGCACTTTGGGAGGCCAAGGCAGCCAGATAACTTGAGGTCAGGAGTTTGATACCAGCGGGCATGGTGGCACGCCCACCTGTAATCTCAGCTACTTGGGAGGCTGAGGCAGGAGCATTGTTTTAACCCTGAAGGCAGAGGTTGCAGTGAGCAGAGATGGCGGCACTGCCCTCCATCCACACCCTGGGAAAAACAGTGAGTGCGACTCCTTCTCCTTCTCCTTCTCCAAAAAAAAAAAAAAAAGAATTCTAAGACAGGGTCTTCTTGAGACATGTCATTATTTAAAATTCAGTCATACACCAAAAGGTAAAATAATGGAGAAAGAGAAAGAGAACTATGAGTTAGGAAGAAAATTATGGGAGTATGCTGTTACAGAAAGAACAACCCAAAATGCTTCAAGAAAATGAGGAGTGCTCAACTATGCAAATGCCGCTTAGAGGTAGGATTAGGTAAAAACAGAAAAGTGAATTTTGGATAGTACAATATGAGTGCCATTGATGATTGGACAAGAGCAGTGTCATAGATTGAAGATGAAGTGGGGACAATGAGAGAATATAAGTCAAGAAACCCACAAAATTAACTGTACAAAACTTGTTTCCTTTTTTGGCTATTTTATGGTAAGATTATAAAAGAATTACAAAAGTAAGTTGAGGAGAAAACGTGGTTGGTCGAAGGAGATCTTTTTAGCTAGTTAGTTTGCTTAAAAATAGGCAAGATGAAAATTACAATATACTGTATGCTTATGGAAGTGACTAAGAAAAATGATGATATATTAATAGAACAGAAACAATGCTATTGCCGTATCATGACTGCAATCATGTGATTGCAATGTAATTCAGTGTTCTAGAGAAGGTGAAATCCAGAAGTCAAGTAAATCAAAACTTGGAGTAGGGGCAAGGAGTAAAAGAAAAAATGTTGGGTAGAGATGTAGGTTAACAGGTTTGATTCTGAGAAGATAAGAATTTTCCTGAATTCCTTCTTTTTTTTTTTTTTGTTTCCAATAAAATATAAGGTGAAATCATCAGCTGATAGAGTTGATGGAGGATTTGGGTAGTGAAGGGCATTATCAAAAATATCAGATGAGGCTGGGCACGGTGGCTCCTGCCTGTAATCCCAGCACTTTGGGAGGCTGATGCAGGCAGATTGCTTGAGCTCCAGAGTTCTAGATGAGCCTGGGCAGCATGGTGAAACTCCAACTCTACTAAAAATACAAAAATTAGGTGGGCATGGGAGGTGGAGGCTGCAGTGAGCCCAGTCCATGACACTGGCACTCCAGCAAGGGCAACAGAGTGTGTCTCAAAAAAGAAAAATAGAAAGAAAAAGAAAAAGAGAGAGAGAGAGAAGCGGACGGAGGGAAGGAATGAAAGGAAAGAGAGAGAAACAAAGAAAAACAGAAATAAACCAGTTGTGTAATTAAAAAAAAATATTAACCTATAAGTGAGGATGTGGCAGAGAGTTGAGATTTAAGACATAGATAACAGAAGAGTTGTTATCTTGAAATATCCTGTCCTGATGTATTCCCCATTCCATAATCCTGCATTCAATGTATTTTAAATTTTATTTCCAGTGGTTTCCCTCATATAGCTGTACTTTCAATTCCAAAAGACATCTTTAAAAACAAATCTGATAAATTCTACATGTAATTATTTAGACCAGGAATTCAAAACATTTATGTATAATAGAACATTTTTAACACCAAAAAATTATCTAAAAGATGTCAATATTTAAAAGGCATTATTTACTACAAAATTATTGCATTTCCAAATGCAATAATGTGTGAATTCAATCTTATATGTCTATAACTCATGCTTAGTCACCAATATCAAGAACATGTAATTAAAGTCTAATAAAATCTGTCTTGTATTGGTAGTGGTACATATTAATACTATTAGCATGTAGTACTAATACATAAATATATAAGGCTTATCTTATATATTCCAGAACTTCAATTCCTATCAAATAAACATGCTGCCACTTTATTACACATGATTCCATCACTTCATGTCAAAAATGAATAAGAAAAAGACCATGGTTTTGAATGTGTAGTCTTGTTGAAGATAATATTTTGCTTTCCATTAAGTTTTCTGAAATATTAAAAATATTTCCATACCTACATTTTCCACCTATTTTGAAACTCTTGGTAAAAGTTTCTCTCATATAATGGATTATATCACATTACTATATTACCTTAGATAATTTTCCTGTATCCAAAGTTATCCTAAAGCTTTGCTTATTCTGCTCATTCTCAGAGCTACATTTTTTCTTACAATTTATGTCTTTGAATTTTGACTATTACTATCTACAAATTGAGGGCTCATTGTGGATTTTTTTTCCAGATTATTCCATAAAAATGCTAGCTAAGGTGTCTTACTTCACTGTATTTATGGAGAGAAATGACCAATTAATTATATGCTTTATTTCTTAGAAAAACGAATCAGAATTTTATCCCTGATTTATAATTACTTTCTCAGGTCTCTCCTTCTTGGCTATGCCTTTCTAATGTCAAAGAACAGACAACTAACCATTATAACGTCCATTTATATTTTATGATGATGTGAGTCATATGATTAAGGGGTTGATATTATTTATCTCTGCTTCTTGGATAGATCCCATTCTTCCCACACTTCAGCTTTCTTTCTGGCCTGTTTCCTTTTAGGAACATCATTTATTCTAGATGTCCATATTTTGGCATATAAAAAGAATATTCTAGCTACCTATCTGAAAATTCTTAAGTTTTATGTAACAATATACTTCTAACTCTTTCAGATTTTCCTAGTCCCTCTGTATCATAAACACACACACACACACACACACACACACACACACACACACACACTGTATGATAAGGGGTCTTGTAGCTGAGTCCCTCTGAAGTCTCTAATGGATATTAGTGGAACTACAGTAGTGCTTCTCAGAATCCAAGGGCATGCATATTTTTTTTTCTTTTTTTTTATTATTATTATACTTTAAGTTTTAGGGTACATGTGCACAAAGTGCAGGTTAGTTACATATGTATACATGTGCCATGCTGGTGAGCTGCACCCACTAACTAGTCATCTAGCATTAGGTATATCTCCCAATGCTCTATCCCTCCCCCCTCCTTTGTTAAATAAGAATTGTGTCACAATTTTAGTGTTTTATATGTTAGTGACAGGTGAAGCCAGCTGGGCTTCTGGGTCCCACGGTGACTTTGATAACTTTTCCGTCTAGCTAAAGGATTGTAAACACACCAATCAGCAATCTGTGTCTAGCTAAAGGTTTGTAAATGCACGAGTCAGCACTCTGTAAAATGGACACATCAGCAGGACGTGGGCGGGGCCAAACAAGGGAATAAAAGCACACCACCCGAGCCAGCAGCGGTAACCTGGGTCCTCTTCCAGACTGTGGAAGCTTTATTCTTTCACTTTTTGCAATAAATCTTGCTGCTGCTCACTCTTTGGGTTCACATTACCTTTATGAGCTGTAACACTCATCGCGAAGGTCTGCGGCTTCACTCCTGAAGCCAGCGAGACCATGAACCCATCAGAAGGAAGAAACTCTGGACACATCTGAACATCAGAAGGAACAAGTTCCGGACATACCATCTTTAAGAACTGTAACACTCACCGCCAGGGTCTGCAGCTTCATTCTTGAAGTCAGCGAGACCAAGAACCCAGCAATTCCTGACGCATTAGTGCTAATATTCGTGGTATAATGACATCTATACTTTTATATTTATACCTTGAATGACTTGCTTTGGACTTTATTTTAAAACCATCTATGAAGAATTGCTTATATGATGGGGACGTGTTCTGTTTTGTATGTGATTAAAAGCTTACCTTGGAGATTTTGTGGGTTTCAGTTCCAGGCCACTGCAGTAAAGCAAATATTGCGATAAAGCGAATATTGCAATAAAGAAAGTCATACAATTATTTTTTTGGTTTCCCAGTGCATATAAAAGTTATGTTACACTACACTGTAGTCTGTTAAGTGTGAAATAGCAGTATATCTAAAACATGTGCATACCTTAATTAACAAATACTTTATTGCTAAAAAATGCTGACACAACGACACAAAATGGGCACCTGCTGTTTGAAAAATGATGCTGATAGACTTGCTTGTCACAGGGTTGCCACAAACATTCAATTTGTAAAGAAACACAATATCTGCAAAGCAATAAAGTGAATCACAGTAAAATGAGGTATGTCTGTAATTCTGACCATAAGTATACTTGTCAGTCTAAATACTTGATAATCCTTAGCCTCACTCTGTCTGATTAGCAGGCTCTCTGATATCTCTAACTACAGTTATTTATCTAGTACATTCTAGATCAGACCTGTGTTTGATTGCTTTATACCAATGGTATGGGTAATATTTCAGTGGTGATAAACCAAATATCAGGCTTCACAAATTATCAGTTTTATGCCTTTGACATAATATCTAAATATTTACTTAAAATTACGTACTGTTGAAGAAGATAGCAATGTTGGAGCACCCTGTTAGATCTGCTTGGATATTCCAATATAAAATTGACTCCCAAACTATTGAAAAACTCCTCACTCAGGACTCTTTTAAATGATTAAGCAATTGCTTGTCAATGCCAAATTGATGGGACTCTCGCATACAAAATCTGGGAGTGTAAAAGTTTCTTCTTGGAATAAAGTGGTGAATAGATTCCTCATCTCTCTCTCTCGCTCGCTCGCTCTCTCATTTGAGACAGGGTCTCATTCTGTTGCCCAGGCTGGAGTTCAGTGGCAATATCTTGGCTCACTACAGCCTCTACCTTCTGGGATCAAGGGATCCTTTTGCCCCAGCCTCCCAAATAGCTGGGACTACAGGTGCTTGCCAGCACATCTGGCTGATTTTTGTTGTTGTTACTTTTTGTAGAGGTGGGGTTTCACCATGTTGCCCAGGCTGATCTTGAACTGCTGAGCTCGAGCAATCCTCCTGCCTCAGCCTCCCAAAGTGCTGAAATTATAGACATAAGCCACCATGCCTAGCACGATTTCTTCTTTTAAAAATAGTCAAAGCCAGTTCTGAAACTGTTTCTTCATGTTTGATTTCAGCAGCCTAACTGTGTCATCAATTTTTATCTTTGATCTTTCAGTGACACCATCAAGAAAACAACAGAGACAAATTATTTGTGATTGAATATTTTCACTACAATTATACTTCAACTTTTTTCAGGGCATAGGATAAAATAAAATAAAATAAAAAAATAAACAGTATTCACGTGTAACTTTTAAAAATTATTTAGGAAGATTCTCCTGTTATGACTTACATCTCTTTTGACTGTGTTTTAACCTTATAATATCTTTCTTCAAATTGGTCTTCCATCTTTTAGTGACAAAAGTCATCTTTTCTTTGTTAAAATACTTTTGGGAAATCTCAATTCCTTTATCAAAGAGGGTGACTTAAAAGCTTTAATAAATGTTTTATAATAGAAAATGCGGCAACCCTCCCTCTCTTTTCTTTTCTCTTTTCGTTTTTTTTTCTTTCTCTCTCTCTCTCTCTGTCTCCTCCTCCCTCCCTCCCTCCCTCCCTGCCTCCCTTCCTTTCTCTTTCTTTCTTTCTTTCACAGAACCTTAAGCAATTACAAGTTGTTTAAGACCCACACTTGAAAAAACTCTAGCAATGTAATTTAAAAAGCACAGAATTTAGAATCAGACACATCTGGGTACACATTTCCTCTCTCTGTTACTATGAATAATTTATGCATTGTTTATAAGTCTCCTTATCTGTATAATTGAAATAATAATTATATTCTTTAGGAAGGTAATTAAAATAATGCCTTTAAAAAGCTGAGCTCAGTGCCTGACACACAGTGATTGCTCAATAGATATAAGCATTCATTTGTTCCTACTTTTATAATAGTCTAAACCAGAATCTAATGAGCCAGTACCAGCCAATTGGTCATTGATAGATTATACTCTATGAGAAAGCTTCTCTTTCTTTTGTTTTTAAATGAAAGTTATGTCTCCTCATTCTTACATTTCTTCGTAGGTTTTTTTTTTCCACTTTACCATTATATTATTGTTCTTGCCATGCTTCTCTATCACTTGTCTTTACTTTCTAAACATTCACCTAGGGTCTTCTTATCCCAGACACTGCAAAATCTTTACCTCTGGCCTTGACCTCTTTCCTATATTTATGTCTAGTTAGTTAATAGTCCCCTAATCAATTAGAATAGAATATGTACAGTTACTTCATCAATTTCTGCCCCCCAAATAATTATCCTCTTCTTTTCTAATAAGTGTCCCTGAACTTATCCTCTTGCTTGTAAGTCTTATTCAAAAGCATCAATCTTTGACTGTTTTTTTCTCTCCCATCTTCCACACCTAGCCTACTTCCAAAACATTTTTCAAATATTTTCTCCTTACCTACCATTCCCAATGGTATTACCTAAACTCAGGTAATCATACTCACTTTACTTAGACTACGATCACAGATTCCTAACTGGTATCTCTGCCTCTAGGCTTGCTTGCACTTAATCTATTCTGTGGATTATAGCCAGAGTAACCTTAAATTGCTGATCTAATGTTGTCACTTGTTGTGCTTTTTAATTTTTAATTATTATGAATACATAATATTTGTACATATTTATGGGGTGTCTGTGATATTTTCATACAAGTATACAACGTGTAATGATCAAATAAGGGTAATTGGCATATCTATCACTTCAAACATTTATCATTTCTTTGAGTTGGGAACATTCCAAATCCTCAAGCTATTTGGAAATATGAAGTAAATTATCATTCACTATAGTCACCCTACTGTGCTGTTGAGCACAAGTACTTATTCCTTCCCTCTAACTGTATATTCGTACCAATTAACCAACCTCTTTCCATCACTTCCTCCCTGCTTCACTTTCCAGCCTCTGGAAACTATATTCTACTCTCTAGCTCTCTGAGATCAACTGTTTTAGCTCTCGCATATGAGTGAGAACATGCGATATTTGTGTTTCTGTGCCTGAATTATTTCACTTAATGTAATTTCTATCAATTCCACCTATGTTGTTGCACATGCCAGGATTTTCTTTTTTTATGCTGAGTACTATTTCATCACACATATATACCAAATTTCAAACTTCATTCATTCATTAGTGGATGCTGAGGTTGATTCCATTTTTTAGCTATTGTTAACAGCACTGCAATAAACATAGAAGTACAGATTTTCATTCCTTTTGATATATATCCAGCAGTGAGATTTCCAAATCATATGGCAGCTCTAATTTTAGTGTTTTGAGGAACCTCCATACTGCTTTCCATACCGGCTGTACTAAATTTCCACCAACAGTGTATTAGCCTTCCCTTTTCTTCATATCCGTGCTAGCATCTGTTTTTTTTTTATCTATAATAGTCATTCTAACTGCGGTAAGATGATGTTTTATTGTGGTTTTAACTTACATTTTCATAATTGCAAGTGAATTTGAACTTTTTTTCATATAGCTGTTGGACGTTTGTATGCCTTATTTTCAGAAATTTTTATTTAGATAATTTGCCCATTTTAATATTGGATTATTTGTGTTTTTTTGCTATTGGGTTCCTTGTATATTCTAGTTATTAATCATTTGATGACTGGATAGTTTTCAACCTATCCATTAGTGGTTTTATATATCATCTAAACTCTTACCTCTCACATACTCTGATCCACCATCAGCCCAGCAAAATATCTGTGGATCCTTCAGATGTAGCTAATTGACTGATTATAGAAGGTAAGCAAAATGGTGCTGAAAGGAGATGAATGTATTTTCTGTAATAGGTAGTTTTAGTTCCGTAATTTAGTTTTAATTTTTATTCTGCAATGGACTTCTTAATATGAAAACCTGTTGAAATAACTTCATATTTTCCTATGATAAATGTTATTAAATAATTGAAAATAAAAATTATAAAACACATTAAAAATAATTTTGAAATAATTATAACAGCAATTTTTGTGTTTTATAGATTATAGTAATAAAACGCTTAAATAAACACTTATAGAATGAACATATTACTATCACACAATTTTAAACTTTCTACAGAAAAAAAGCTTAAGTAAAATTCCATAGTATTTCAACTGGGAGGGGGGGAAACTCAAAACATTACATGTAAAATTGACTTGAAAAAATAAGATCTATATACTTAACAACTCTACTGCTGTTTGTTTGTCTTTGTTCCCAAGCTGTATTTTGAACAAGCTTGAAGAATAGTTTCTAAGTACCTAAGTTTATTGCTTGCACTGTGTGCCAATTTTCCCCTTGTGTTATGGAAGGCAGTAGCTTAGATACTTGATTTTTAAAGCCAGAAGAGTCGGCCTGCTGGTCTCTCAAGAATTCAGCTAAGCAAATCTTAAGAGCATGATTCCTATCTGAAGATGGGTTATTATTTATTCCTTATGTTTATCTTGTATTTATTGATCTAATCTATGTAAATCAAATCTTTACCTAAGGGCTCCACAGCTCACGCACACAGCGGAAATTTAACATTCAACCTGAAGTCAATCCTCAATTATTCAGTAGTTACCCATTCCAGTGGAAGGATAATTCATGCCTCTGGCTGCTTCTCCTTCCTCTCAGTGCTTGCATTTTGGCTGCTTTGCTTATTGTGATTTTTCTCCCTTAGAGGATCAAGAGTAATGGAATACCCAGGTGCATAACTCTAATCATCTCACCTTCACGTTTTGCGTTTCCAGCTTTTACTCAAATCAATATTTTGGTTAAAGACTTTACCTTTGATGTCACATGCTTTCTCTGTCTCAATTATTTTCCAATTTATTGCCTCATGCAAATCAGCCACATGCCTTGATACAGGAACCAGATTGCTGTGTTTATAACTCCTGTGCCTGCCCTAGCATGGGTACAGTAGACTCTTAATGACTCCTTTCTTCTAGAATCTGCCATCGTTAGTAAATATTTTAGACTTATTCTTTATGACTTTTCCTAAATGTTAATAGCTATTTTGCCAGCATAATCATCACTAATTTTATAGAATATATAAAGTAGAGAAATAAAAAAATAAAATTTTATATCATCCCTATGTTCTGTTATTAGTAAATGTTTATTTATTGGGTATTTATGAGATGTATTAAAGTGGCAAATGTTTATAATAGATATTAGACAATTTATTGCCTGCCCTTAAGAAATTCATAATTTTTAAGAACTTGAATTTAAAAACATGCTTGAAATATTATAGGATGTTGAGCTCTTTAAGAATAAAGAAGCCTATAGAAAAATCTATCAATGAATCTTTTCTATTACTTTCATTACCTTGACTTTACCTTACCATTTTCTCAAGTCTAGAATTATCTTTCCATTACGTTTCATTTTGCTACATCATATGCCTCTATCAACCTTGACAAAACCACATTGTGTGTGAAGATTACCCTACCATTTTAACAGACCAAAAATTCAGACTCAGATTCTGTTTATATAATAATAAAAGAAAAAAGCCAAATAATTTTATTTCATCTTAACAGGAACTTGACTAACATCTGGGCTTAGTGCTCTTCCTTGACCATGTAATTTAATTCTTTGTCATTCATGAGCTTAGTATCAAAACCATCATATTAAGTTTCCCTTTAGACAAATCTATATCCACACACATTTTTACATACTTGGCATTTTCAAGGCCATGGCTACCACATAGTTCACTGTTTTTCAAATGAATGTGTGAAATTGGTATTATGGGTCCCAACCCACAGAGAAGATTTTCTTCCTAATGTTGAACAAACAAAAAGAAAAAAAAAACAAACAAATTCTTCCCTCACTCTCCAAAGAGGCAGAATGCATGTTTCCCTCATGCTTTATAAAGATGCTTATTCTTCTTGTGTTCAAGTATTTAATTGCTACACTTTTCCAGTGGAGAAATTATAATGCTTACTCCCTGTAAGAGTGTTTGTTATTGGCTCTCTTGTTTATGCAAGCTCTCTAAATAATCTATGCACCATTAATTACAGCTACTAAACAAATATGATAAATTTTTTTGTTGTGTGCCTAGCCCTATTACTAAATGACACAACTTCAAAGATAATTGGAGATTTAGAATGAGTAAAGATAAGTAAAGATGTGTTCAGAATGAAGAAAAAATTATCAGAAGAAAGCAATAGGCAA
This sequence comes from Homo sapiens, assembly GCF_000001405.40. Lineage (NCBI taxonomy): Eukaryota > Metazoa > Chordata > Mammalia > Primates > Hominidae > Homo > Homo sapiens. Next base: position 103,892,768 of record NC_000003.12, on the reverse strand, counting down.
ACTGAAGAAACTATACCTACATGCATAAAACATTGTTTTTACTATCTGACTAAGGAATTTTGGTAACTTTAAAAAAATTTGCATTTGCAATTATATAATTGATATCTATCTATCTATCTATCTATCTATCTATCTATCTACCTCCCTATCCATCTATCTACCTCTTTCTATCTATTGAGAAAAATATTCTAATCAATTCACTGAACAAAACATCACATTCAATTTTCCAGACCAACATGAAAACTACAAATATCTAAGGAAGAAAATAAAAATTCATAAATAATAGGATTAAGTGTAAAAATTGCTGTCATATTTTAAGTATGGATTTAGAAGAAAAAAGTGCTTTAGTTTCAAAGACCAGTTTAATTTCATCTACTAAAACGATAGGTTTTATTTCAATTTTAAAGAATTATTCATCTTCGTAATAAAATATTCTGCGAGAGAATTGAGTAAATGTAGATTTCAGGTTTTGCCAGATTCTAAAGTATATTAAATTGAGTTAATATTATTTGGTTTCTATAACATAGCTATAGGATTATATAAAAGAAAGTTTATAGAAAATCAGAATGGAAAATATTATTATAAACTGTACTTTCTAAAACTTGGCTGACAGGTTGCAATACATCCTTTTTATCTATAAATAAAATATAGGGCAACAATTATAACAAAAAAAGTCTACCTTTTATTCAAAGTCTTAATAGAATAATAAAGAGAGCTCAGCACAGCATTTCTTTTGATATAAAATTTGCTGAGAACTGCACCAACATTATCTAGCACTAGAAAATTTTTAAGTATTGGGAAGACCACAGAATATTGTTCCAAGAATAATTTAACATAAGTGATGGTGCAACGACTATTGACTAAAGTTAAATGCTTCCTAAATTTCTAATAATGTTTTTCCATAAATGTAATTACAATACTGTTCATATGGTTAACTAGGAAGGTTGTAAACTTTAGAAATATGAAAATTAAATCTAAGGCAGATGTGTGCATTGTTGACTCTGTGTTTGAATAAGAATCAAGCCAGCATTCATTGAGCATACAATGCTTATTTAGTATTGTGTAAGACAATTTGGCATATAAAAATTTCAATTAATATCCCTATAATATCTAGTCTTGAAGATGAGAAAAACAGAACAATCAATGCTAGTTTTGGTCCTGGTGAACACAATTAGTTATCATTGTTTATCTTATGATATGAAATCATCTGTGATTGACAAGTAAAAGTTGTTGATCATGGGGAGAATTGGCAAGGAATGGATTTATGTTAAATTGTCATTGTCGCTGAAAAAATTGGGGATAGAAGACGTGAAATAATTATCCATAAAATAGCATAGATATCTGCTACATAAATTTTGCAGAAGTTATGATATTTAGGTAGTATCCCTAGATTCTCTAGTAAATGTTTTTGTCTGTTCTTTGCTGGTTTTTTGTTTTGTTTTGTTTTATTTTACATCAAGAACCTGTGATTTCCCAGCAAATATTTTAAAGAAACTATTTTTTTATTTTAATTTTTTGTTTTTCTAGTATCTTCCCCACAATAAGTTTATTAATTTACTAATACTAAATGATATGTAATTCAAATAGCACAGTTCTAGGGGACATATGTAGTGGGAAAAGATTGCTTTTAAATTTTACTTTATTTCATTTATTGTGGTTAAATAAATTTTAAAGGCTAAACACTATGATTGTTTATTGATTACTATATTGAAGGACCTAGGGATTTCTCTAGCAAAAGATTCAATTTAATTTTATTCAGTACAGTGTTTTTCCAATCAATATTAGCACAGAAAAGTTTTTGTTCCAGTACCACTACTGATAATATTTTTAGACACACCATTCTGAGTAACAGGTAATAAAATAATAAACTGCGTAACATGCCATACTGGCAGATGGTTGGTGATACGAAAATGATAAAGTAGTTCTTGGCAAAGGTTGCCATGCATCTTAAGAGTCAGGAAAAAAATTTCCAAATACAAAACAGCAGAAAAGTCAATAAAGAGTCAATAAGACGAATGAATGCAAATGAGACATTAAAACACTAGTGAAGAAAGCTCCTGTTAATAATGTTAAGAAATTATCAAGTAAGAAGCCCAATTCAACTCAATTCATCAAACATACTGAGCACCTTCAAAGTACAAAATATTGTGCCAGTTGCTGTAGGCATTCTAAAATGAGTTTCAGAAGACCTACTTCCATCCTGAAAGAATTTTGAACCTAGTCGATTAGGATGGCATGAAAGACAATCCATAAATAAACAATTTAACTTTTGGTACAATATAAGGTTTATAAGAATTTTTTATAAAAGCTTTTGGGATCGCTGCAATGAAGTGGATTATATAAGCTAAAAATAGACAGTTAATTAGCACAGGAAAGTAACACTTTAATAAAGGAAGGTGAACATTATTTTAGAGTAATATCACAGACACTATTAAATAGGACTAAGACTGGAATATGACATTTGCATAATTTTTCAAAAGAAATAAGTCAAATCAGTGAAAGCCACCCAATTTAATATTATAGATCATAACAGAAAACAAATGTTAAGTGATCTTTGACCAATGTTTCCAAATAGTTAGCTCCTAAGTGTTTGTTAACAATTCACACATTAGATTCTGTCCCCTGCAGAATTTGATTTAGTAGGCATAAGGTCAGTCGAGACATCTGAATGTTTAATAATCGCTCAAAACATTTTGATTTAGGCAATACATGCACCAAACATTTAGAATGGTATCTTAGTTTTTAGGAATGCAGCTTATACAATATTTAAGTTCTAAATAGTAAATAAATATAAATGTATTTTCTTGATTAGAGATTTTAAAAGAGGAGTTCAAAAGCCATGATAGTGTCTAAAAGCACAGGTCTGACAATGCAAAGACAAATTATCTCAGTGAGTTGGACCTAATGGAATCGTTATGCCTGTGCATGGAGGAAATTGATTATCTCTGATTTTAAAAGATTATGTATAAAAAGGTTAATTCAAATAAATGATATAAACCCTTGAAAATGACATCTATAAGAAGAATAAGGGTAAGGATAGTAGCTTGAGCAATAAGATTCTAAAAAAAAAAAAAAAAGAAAAAGTGCAATAGTTGTAAAAATGATGTAATAAAAAAAGTTTCTCTCATGTAGACAGTGTAACTCAAACCTAAATAAGAAGGAAATAAAGCCAAATATATTTGGAGAAGTGATAAGACTGCAGAGTTATTTCAAAAGAAATAAAATCTTCCAGTCCATATGAATGACATTAAGAAACTGGCAGGGCATGAAGGACTCAAAACTGAACTAGAGGGAACATTTTTCATAACTTTGCAATTATGAACAGCAATGGTGCCATATAAATGACCCTTGCCAAATTCTTCACAGTTAAAAAAAAAAAGAAAAAAAAATAAAGTAGTTTGGAAATTACATAATTCCTGACATTAAGTTCAAAGCTATATTGGCAGGCTCCAAATATTTATTCTCAAATGTTTATGAGCACTAAGGAAAACAAGATTTTAAAGAGGATTAAAAAAAAAAAATAGAACAGATATCCCTAGCAGTTAACCTGGATTAGCTGTAAGAGTATTTCTGAAATAAATTTTAAGGGACACTAATTTTACTCAAAATGTTAACAGATAATCTCATACAAAATGTCCTTTGTAAAAAACAGTTTGTAAAAGTCAGCCTAGTATGTAATTTTCTTGCATCTATATTATTCATATTAACATAATAAAAGCTCAGAGAATGTCCAAAATTTAGATAATTATCATTTATATGATTATACAACACTACATATTCCAACTTTACTTGACTACAGAAGAAAAAAATCTTATTAAGTTTTCATTGAATATTAAAATACGTTGTATCAAAAATTTAGAAATGCTGGGCTAAATGCAAGTTGTACCCATTAGCATTATTTCCCTTTTGTGTGTTCAATAGAATTATTTGTAGAGCAAATTGAACCCACAGATATATTGCACGTTGAAATAGAAAAAGTACCTGATAAAAATATTTTATGAGATCCTCGAAGTGGGCTAGCAGAGGCATTGGTTTATCAATTCATTTGCTGCTTATGGTTTAGATGTCAAAAGGCTAATTAAGATTAAAATCTAACTAGGAGAGTGATTTATTTTTAATGACATTTTTTAGATATCTGTTCTTTTTACTTTTCCGTATGTTAAAAAGTGAAGTGAAGAAATTTAAGGGAGGTAATAGAATCGAAAGTTTGCATTAAAATCTATGACAAAAGAGCTATTATATGGTCATAAATTTGAAAATAAACAGGATAGAAAAATGTATTTAATTCTTGAAATTAAAAATTAAAGATGAGTTCTTATTCCATATGTTGATAGAAGCCCATTGCATACTAATGAACTATGAAAGGACTCCAAAAATAAACAGAAGCAGGCAGATTATAGAGTAATTTCAAAGCTTGGAAATTTGATTCATGCAAAGGTGATTTCACCAGTTTTGTTTGTTTGGTTGTTGTTGTTTTTTTTTTTTCCTAGTCTTAGATGTTCTCTGAGGGTGGGTCACGATTCAGAAGCTTCCTGGCAGAACAATACTGCAAAAGCCTAAAACTCAGTGTATCAGTTCCCCAGGACTCCCATAACAAAGTGACACAAACTGGGTGACTTCAAATAATAAAAATTAGTGTCACAGTTCTGGAAAATAGAAGTCTAAAATTAAGGTGTTTGCAAGTTTGTGCTTCCTTTGGAACCAAAAGAGAGAATTCTTCCTTGCCTCTTCTAGCTTCTAGTGCTTGCCGGCAATCCTTGGCTGTTAAATACATGACTCCAATATCTGCCCTCATCATCGTATGGATACCTTCTCCTTACATGTCTCTGTCTTCACATGGCATTCTGATCTCTGGGTTTGTCTATCTCTGTATCTTTTCTTCTTCTCTTAGAAGAAGAATAGTCATATTGGATTAAGGGCCCACCCTACTCCAGTATGATCTCATCTTAACTTAGATCTTCATTATATCTGCAAAAACTGTTCACAAATAAGTTCAATTTATATGTAATAATAGGTTAGGATTTCGACATACTTTTTAGTGGAGGGGGCACAATTCAATCCACAGCACTCAGAAACCTCATCTTTCTGAAGGAAGAAAACAGTAGATGGGTCTTTTTGGGCTAAAGACTGTGGAGGGAATCCTGGGGAAAAAAAAAAAATAGCTGGAGAAGGTAAATGCCCTGACTGTGTGCATCAATCAGCACAAGGTTTGGGCTCATTCCTGAGTTACTCAGACACAGAACAGAAGAAAAGCAGTATAACAGTCTTGGAAAAAATGAATAGAGCTTCAGGAACACAGGCAGCAGATATTTAGCGATGACCTAGGTCTCAGATTATTCCAAGTGGTTGACGCATAGGACAAATTTAAAGAAATATAGTGCAGTCTTTTAAAAATACACTCGGGGTGGCAGTCAGAACTTGATCTCTGAAATTAATTTAGTTGAATGCCTAATAAACAAAACAAAATGAAGAATCAACATTGTTCGGAGGATTAGTATAGGAAAAATTCTGCCCAATATAACCTCCAAAATATCCATGATATAATCCAAAATTACTAAACAAAGAGCTAGAGATACCAGAGCAATCCTCAAGAAAAAAAGGCAATCAGATTCAGAACCTGAGAAAGCTGAGATTTTATAATTATTAGAGAAAAACTTTAAAGTGGTCATTGTAAATATGCTTCATTAAATTAATAGAAAGAAGCTCTCAACACAGAAATCATAATTATAAAAAATAAGAAAATGGAACTGTCAAAATAAAATATAAGTGTCTGAAATTTTTAAAAAATAACTGGGCTCAATTATAAGATGGAGATGACAAGAGGAAGGAATCACTGGACTTGACTGATCAAGAATGATCTATTAATCATTCTATTGATGAATATAATGTATTCAATCTGAAGAAGAGTACTATAAGCTGAATGTTTGCATCCCACCAAAATTCATATGCTAAAATTCTAATCCCCAAGGTGGCAGTTTTGAAAGGTAGGGCCTTTTGAACGTGATTAGGTCATGGAGACAGAGCTTTCATGAATGAGATTAGTGTCCTTACAGAATTCTACCCTAAGAAAATATATTTCAGGAATGAAGAAAAAATAAAGACTTCCTCAAATAATAATAAAGTAAAAGAATTCATGAGCAGCAGAGTTTCTCTAAAAGTACTGCTAAAGGAAGTTTTTCAGACTACAAAGAAATAATACCAGAGAGAATAATAATGGCCCGCTCAAACACATACATATATATGTGTATATACATACATTCATACATACATAAAATCTTGAGGTGAAGTTTATAATGTATGCATACATGATAATGGTGATATAAAGAGCACAGGACAAAGGAAATAATCTTTATAGTTGCTTACCTTCTATATTTTAATCAAAATGGTACAATCTGCATAGTAAACAGACTATAAAAAGTTTGATATGTATATTATAATCTGCAGGGTAACCATATTCTGTAAGTCAATATATAATTTAAGACTATTCAAATAATCAGATGGCAGAGAAAATGAAACTGTAAAACAAAATTAAGAGAGAAAAGCAAAAATGAATGATAAACTTAGTAGAATTAAATTCAACCATATCAATACTTTTATTAAATAGTAGTGGTAAAAATACTCCAGTTAAATGGCAATATTACATTTAAAATGCCCAGGATAAATTTCAACATAGATACTACAGTAGATTGGATATATGCTGCCTACTAAAAGATACAATTTAAGCATAAAGATACAGATAAATCAAAAGTAAAGAAACAGAAAAAGATAAAGCATTCATATAAGCAGCATAATAATACCGAAATAACTTTTAAAATCTAGATAAACAAGACTTCCAAGCAAAGTATTTTACTAGAGATAAATAAGGACACATCATAGCAATACAAAGAAAAATACACAAGAAAGGCTTAACAATAGAAAATGTATATGCATCTAATAATACAGGCTCACATGAGGCAACAATTGACAACATAAAGGAAGAAATGGAAAATTCTGCACTTATAAGTAGAAGATTTTAACATGCTCTGGAGCTGTAGAGAAAATATTTTTTATGTTTATGCATAATTAGGACTCTGAGCAAACTACACTAAAACTTGGAAACTGAGCTAAAAGAACAAGCCTTGGAGGGTAAATTAGGACTATTTAGATGGTGAAAGAACTCCAGTGCAATTTATCTCTCTCGTGGTAAATCTTCATATTTTAAGTGGGGATAAGTCTAGAATCACAGGAGACACTTTCGGTTTTAAAGCTGGAGTTGGCACGGTTGTTTATAGTTACTCTAAAAATTCATACCTTTGCACATCTTTAAATAGATGTGATTATTAGCAAGGAGACTCAACTTTTCTGCTTGAAGTGGCTACTGTAAATTATATCTTCTTAGATTAATGCATATTAATCTAGGTTAGATTAATTTTAGAAGTAATATATCAGTTTTTGTGGCAAAAAGATTAGTAATTGTCAATGAAGTTTGATATGCTAAAATATAGACAAAAGATTAAATGAACAAGTACAGTCGTTTATATTTTAGCATATCATACTTCATCGGCAATTCAATTTGTTCTACAACACAGAGACAGAAGGAATATTTAATAATAAAGAGAGGAGTCAAAGGGGATGTTTTTATTCATTTCATAATTTAAATACATGTGATTATATGTAAATACATTTGATTCTCCTTATAAACAAAGAACATTTGCTGTGGCCATTAAGACTAATTTACACATATAAATCTAAGTTACATGAGTATCAAAGTGGAAGTCTCAGTAGCTGGGGTTTATAGGGACACTCATAAGAATGCAATATCTTTATAGGAGCTTTAACACCTAGAGATGGTTAGAACACTAATCAAAATTATTCAAGAAATCTTCGAAATGAAAACTATTCCTGTTTAATGACTAATAGACTCTGTATCTTACCTTGTATCCTAAATACAAAACTGTTTTCACAAGGTTAGATTTCTGGGAAAGTGGGTCATTTAAAATATTGCCATAAATTTAGAAATAAGCATGAGAAACATTTTTAACAGTCATGAAAATGAAATATATAAGAATTACTATTTGAAACAATGGAAGTAAAATAAATTGCTGTATATATGTTTGATGTGACTTGGCTTTGTCCCCACCAAAATCTCATCTTGAATTAGCTCCCATAATTCCCACATGTTGTGGGAGGGACCTGGTGGGAGGTAATTGAATGATGGAGGTGGGTCTTTCCCATGCTGTTCTCCTGATAGTGAATAAGACTCATGAGATCTGATAGTTCTATAAAGGGAAGTTCCCCTACACAAGCTTTCTTGCCTGCGGCCATGTAAGGTGTGCCTTTGCTTCTCCTTTGCTTTCTGCCATGACTGTGAGGCCTCCCCAGCCATGCGAAACTGTGAGTCAATCAAAACTCTTCCTTTATAAATTACCCAGTCTCGGGCATGTCTTTATTAGAAGCATGAGAATGGACTAACACAATGTTTTAAAGCCAACAGATTGAAAGTGGTATTTAAGCTATGGTAAATGGACCAAAAAATATGAAAACAGGCAAATACTCTTTCTTATCTGAAGACATTTATAATTAGTATAAACAGATCTATAACTCAACAAAAGCCCCTGAGGATATTAGAGCATTTGTATTTTGAACAAGAGCTCTGAATCAACGTGAGTGGATTCAAGAATATTCAGTGTGCTGTCTTTAAGCTTAAGTAATGAGGGATTTTACATTGTTTAAGATGAGGAAGTGATATTTTCTACTGTTCTTTTATCTGTTTCTCTTAAGAGATTTTTGGCTATAAGTATTGGAAAAGAAAAGGGTCAGATGGCATAGCACATAAGCATGCAGTTCTCAATTTGGCTGTTGACCATTCTTGTGATTCTTCTTCCTATATTGCTCTGCTATTATAGCTGGAACATGATAGAAAAAGTAATGACACATGCACCATTTAGGCACCAAAAGTCCAGTGGAAGAGGAGACTTTCTTCTCATGTATCTCTTTTGTCAAAATGAGGACATTTTACTGACTCGTAAGTCAATTGCTGTTATGAAGTAAAAGTCTACTATATTGAACTATCTGATTTTTTTTCTCGAGATGTGAGTGATCAAAAATATTTCTATCTAGAAAAGAAAGGCAAGCAATTGTTATTATGCAGTCAACTATAACTGGCAAATATGTTGTCACAATAAAAACTAATATATAAAGATTTTCAAACTATAACTCTGAAATTTTATGGTAGAAATGAAACTCAGAATTGTGACTGATAAAATTAGAAGAAATCTTGGAATAAAATTGTAGCCAAAATCAGACAGTAAGTGAATAATTTTAGATAAATAAAATTGTGGAAATCTCAAAGAGCCATCAAAGTAACAGAAATGTTGTAATCCATAAGGAGTTTAAAGCCAGAAGACATTTATTTTTTTATTCATGCATTTACAGCATTAATATATCTATTGTTTATATTATGTATAAGCTATTTTCTTGAGCACTTACATTATAGGAGACACATATCCACAGCATTAGTTAATCAATAGTGAAGATGTGTATTATTTCTGCCTAATTTTTGGTCTAGTGATGAATAGAGTCTGAATAAAAGAAAAGAATAAAAAAAGAAAAACAAACTGTAAATAAATAATACAGACATTGTGCTGATACACAGATAAAGAGCTCCTTTAAATAGTAATGTCACTGAGGACCTCTCAGAGAATGCAGCATACATGCTTAGATCAAATGACAGAGAAAGTATTATCTATTCAAAGATAATCAGTGGGGAAAATGTCAGAAGAGAAAATTTATACAAGAATGGCAAGGAAGAGAAAGAGCACAGAAGCAAATAACTGAATGAATTTGGTACTGAGATTTAGTAATCAGTGAACATAGTGATTTATGAAGAAGTTAGAGAGATTGCAGAATCTAGATTATTGAGGACATAGACCAACATAAGCAGTTTGGATTATATTCTAAGCCAATGGGAACCTGGAAGGTGATATGAAGGTAAACCAGAAAATAAATATGGGAATCTTAAAATTGGGACAACTTTGTATTATGGATAATACACATGTGAATAAAGTTCTTGTCTCCTTTTTCTTCTTCTTCTCCTCCTCTCCTTTCCTTTTCCTACTCTGTTTTATTCTCTCCTTCACTGCCTCTTTATCCTCTCCCCTTTCTCTTTTCTCCTTTTTCCTCTCTCCCTTTTTCTCCTTTCCTTTCTCCTCCTTCTTCTATTGCTGTCCCTCCTTTTCTTTTTGTTTCTCTTTAGCAGATGTAAGTCTAGGAATTTTATCAATCTGTGAATGAAAACTTGTTAGTTTACTGTTTATTATTAAGAAACCTGGGATTGTGTAAGCAGGATACCATAAGACCATTGATTTATAGGGAATGGCATCTCCTTTCCTGACAGAAATGCATCCTAGAGGGGTCAATTACAGTTATATACAAACATTTCTCTGCCAATGCTAACATTCTTTTACATTTATAAAAAGCAATGGCCACAAAAGCCAAAACTGACAAATGGGATCTAATTAAACTAAAGAGCTTCTGCAGAGCAAAAGAAACTACCATCAGAGTGAACAGGCAACCTACAGAATGGGAGAAAATTTTTGCAATCTACTCATCTGACAAAGGGCTAATATCCAGAATCTACAAAGAACTCAATCAAATTTACAAGAAAAAAACAAACAACCCTATCAACAAGTGGGTGAAGGATATGAACAGATATTTCTCAAAAGAAGACATTTATGCAGCCAAAAGACACATGAAAAAATGCTCATCAACACTGGTCATAGAGAAATGCAAATCAAAACTACAATGAGATACCATCTCACACCAGTTAGAAAGGCAATCATTAAAAAGTCAGGAAGCAACAGGTGCTGGAGAGGATGTGGAGAAATAGGAACACTTTTACACTGTTGGTGGGACTGTAAACTAGTACAACCATTGTTGAAGACAGTGTGGCAATTCCTCAAGGATCTAGAAGTAGAAATACCATTTGACCCAGCCATCCCATTACTGGGTATATACCCAAAGGATTATAAATCATGCTGCTATAAAGGCACATGCACACATATGTTTATTGCAGCACTATTCACCATAGCAAAGACTTGGAACCAACCCAAATTTCCATCAATGACAGACTGGATTAAGAAAATGTGGCACATATGCACCATGGAATACTATGCAGCCATAAAAAAGGATGAGTTCATGTCCTTTGTAGGGACATGGATGAAGCTGGAAACCATCATTCTCAGCAAACTATTGCAAGGACAAAAAACCAAACACCGCGTGTTCTCATTCATAGGTGGGAATTGAACAATGAGAACAGTTGGACACAGGAAGGGGAACGTCACACACCAGGGCCTGTCGAGGGGCGGGGGAGGGGGGAGGGATAGCATTAGGAGATATACCTAATGTAAATGACGAGTTAATGGGTGCAGCACACCAACATGGCACATGTATACATATGTAACAAACCTGCACATTGTGCACATGTACCCTAGAACTTAAAGTATAATTTAAAAAAAAAAGATTTTCTGTTAGTGAGTTTGGGGATTTAAGCTATCACTGGGATGTGGAAAACCTGTCAGCCCTCACTAATTAGCACAACTAAAAGTATTTGTTCATGGCTTCGGTTCTAGAGCTAATATTATTTCTACCACTGAATTTGTGACTGAATGACCATTACTGAGATTGTCTTTACCACTGAATTGCCCACTGATTGGAATTCCTATATATCGGCATATGTGCACAGATTATCTACCAAGGAGAGTCCCCTGAGAGCATTTATCTTGTAGCTTTTATTATCTTCCTCAACACCATTGGAAATAGAAGAGGATTTAGTTCTGAATAGTGCTCAAGAACTAGTTTGGAATCGAACCACTACATATCATCCACACTATATTAGAAATTGAGCATAATAAGGGACTAGGGCAATTCACTTTTGTATAAAACCTATAGTAGCTTATTACCAATAAGAGACTAGGCATTCAATATATTTGTTGATTAATGAACAGATTTATCAAGCAATAAGTTTTATCTTTCAATGAATATAAAGAATAAATACATTGTCATAATTGTCAAATCATATAGTAAATCCATGATGACTCTGCATTTTACTTTCCTGAATTTTCAGAAAATAGGGGAGTATTCACACAAAAGTAAAATATTTGAGGAGACTTTGAAGCGTACCTAAAAAGTATCCAAAAATGAGAGTCACTGTGGTCTGAATGTTTGTATTCCTCCAAAATTCATATGTTAAAATCCTAACACTCAAGAGTGTGATATTAGGAAGTGGAGCCTTTGGAAGGTGATCAGGTCGTGAGGATGGAGTCTTCGTGAATGAGATGAATGCCTTTATACAACAGACACAGAGGAGTTTGTTTTCCTCTTCCCTTTTGTGATTATACAGCTACAAAGCTCCATCTATGAGGAAAAGAGCCTCACCAGACACCAATTCTACCAGCGACTCGATCATGGACTGTGAGCCTGCAAGACTGCGAGAAATAAATTTTTATTGTTTATAAGCTCTCAGTCTATGTTAATTTGTTAAGGCAGCTGAAACAGACTAAGATAAACATCTGTAAAGATTTTTACATGTATAATCAGGATATTTAGTGGAAGACAAAATTCCACATGATACTTGTCACTGACAAATAAACAGTGGTAAATGTCTTTCCACAGTCCCAGTGATAACTCTAGGCCTATTAATCGCGCCTAGAAGGAGCTTGTTCACATATTGAGCACTCCAACTTTTACAGCTTCCACCCTGAAAAGGACTGCATCCTAAACCTCCTAGCACTGGGAACAGAGGAAACGAATTATATGCAAGTCTATCTAGACCACGGGTGGCAGCGGGGAAGTGGCATTGTATATGGATTGCAAGTACTTTCAGGGGTTTCCTCCTTTAGACCAGTGCAGAGAAGGGGCTTTAAGAATGCAGCTCCCTGTTTATGCCATGCATCCAGTGCCTGCAACTTTTACAGCCACCTCCATCCTAAACCTCTTATCTCTGGTACTAGGCGTATGGGAGTCTCCTCAGCTTGACACTCAGGAGCCTTTCCTCCAGGCTGCTCACTGATAAATCCAGTTCTACTCATTTTTCCTGGTAGGAGCTTGACCACACATCAAGTACCACAACTTTTCTAGCTTCCATCTGAGGGACTAACTCCTTAGCAACTTAGCTATGAGAGATAGGTCTTGCATTACTGGGTGATCCTAGACCACAGAAAAGAGATAGGTGGACATACAATGGGCCCACTCCAAGCAGACATCTCCCCAGAATTAGATTACAGCCTGAAGACGAGTACGGGCATTTGCAATTGATTCCATTCCCGGCTTAATGCGGAGAGAGTGAGCAGTAAATGCTATGCTAAACTTCATTGCAAAGGTAGAAGGGATTAAAACACACATACTACACTTCAATCTTTCCACCTATATCTAGAGAGTCTGGCTCCTATCTTACTGGTCTTAGAATATTGACAGGATGTGGCGCATCCTAAGCTCCAAGAGACCACCAAACAGACAACAGTTTGGACCAAAAAAAAAAAAAAAATGAGAGGCACATTAAAATATCTGATCAGAGGGATTGGTGAGATTCTTCTATACAGTGCCAGTGCAACAAGACTGGTAGAGTCTTATGTAATGTGCAGAAACCAACACAGAGAGTCAATGAAAATTTTTTTATAAAAGGAATATATTCTATATAAGAGAAAAAGAGAAATCTCCAGAAGCTGAACCAAATAAAGTGGGAATATGTAATTTACAAAACAGGTAATTCAAAATAATGACCATAGTGCTGCTCACCAGCGTTAGAAGAGCAATGCAAAAACAAACTGAGAATTTCCTCAAAGAGATAGGCAGCATAAAAATTAGCAAACAGATATCATAGAGGTAAAGAGGAGTATAGCTGAACTGAAAAATTCAATAGAAGGGTTCAATAGCAGACTAGATTAAGCAGAAGAAAGTGTCAGTGAACTGGAAGACAGGTTACTGAAAGTCTTTCAATTTGAAAAGAAAAAAGAAAAAAATAAAGAGAGTGAAGATAGTTTAACAGGCATTTGGGACACCATCAAGTGTAACAACATACCAGAAGGGGAAGAGAAAGCGACAGTAGACATTGTCAAAGAAATAATGGCAGAAAACTTCCCACGCCTGATGAAGGAAATAGAAATCCAAATCCAGAAAGCTGAAAGGGCCAAATAAGATCAATCTAAAGAGATCCACACAGAAACTCATAATAATCAAGTTGTCGTAAAAATTTGTCAAATAACTTGAACATACAGAGAGTAGAATGGTGGTTATCAGAGGCTGTTGGAGGGAGGTGAGAGTGTATGGTGAAAGGGAAGCCATTGGTCAATAGGTACAGAGTTTCAATTAGTTATATTTCCTATAAGTTCTGGTGTTCTGTTGCACAGTTTAGTGACTGTAGATAGTAGTAATGAATTCTGTATTTCAAAATTGCTATAAGGATCTTAAATGTTCTCACCACAAAGAAACGACAGATATTTAAGTTGATAGGTATGCTAATTAGCTTGATTTGATCATTCTGCCGTGCATACATGTATGAAAACATCACACTGAAATTCATAAACATATACAACTATTATTTGTTAACTAAAAAGAAAATAAAAGTAAAAAGCAGTTCACAGAAATTCATGAATAGTTTTAGTTACATGAGCCATTTAGATGGTAGGAAAAAGTTTGCATGGTATAACTTCTGTCTGTTTTAAAACGCATGATTAATTCTCAATTTAGAACAGGTGCTTGGTAATACAATTAGAATTACAGTTTCAATATATTTATCTCACTTTTTATGTGGAAATGAAATAATATATTGCTGTCAGTGCATTAAGTTATGGTAAGCAATTTGTCAGTAATAAATTTGGATAATATATCCAGACGAGAATTGAGTTTTACAATTCACTTTTGCAGCACGATTAAGCCCATAATGAACCATTTGATTCACTTGATCATAGTTTTATTTAGTATCCAGACTTAAAATAAGCCATATACATTGATTCAGTTACTCATATTATAACATCAATGTTTAAGTGACAATTCAGATTCTGCTGCAATACTTTTCAAAACATCGAATTCAGACATGCAAGACATATATATCAAGAGCTATGTGTCAGGCTCTGGGCTATCCTGAGTGCTAAATAATTTCTCACAAATATTTTAGAATTCAGAATGCAGTACTATAAAGACATTTTCTGAAGGGAAAAATGCATGTGAAACATCTGGGAGTGTGGGAATTGAGAAAAGGAGTCACCATATCCGTCTTTATTAGAACGTTTTTCTCTAAATTGATTAGCATAGCTACCCAAATTTTTGACTACACCTGCTATTTCTAAGAGTGCTCATCTCTTGATTTATTATGAAGCAGAAAAAAATATATTCCCACTCATAAGTTTTTAATCATTGCTCTGTGGGAAATGCTTTGCAGGTACTTTCTGAGAGTAGAAGTTGGATAAATAAAAGCAAGAAAACAAAAGAGAAAATCTTTGGTATGCATCAAATTGAGTTCTGTTTTAATAAACAGTTTTCACTGCACAGTGTCCAGTGTAAAGGGTGGTCAGTAATTACAAGGCTATTTCATAGTTTACAATGTACTATATGGTGTTGCACATTGCGATAATATCAGCCTTATTCCTTTTTATTTAATTCCCAACATGCACACACACACAGAGAAATGATGCAAAGATAACTGGCTTTGAGCAAAAAATTTAAGCAGAAAGGTACAGTTAGCATATTTATAACTATAAAAAGAGGGTTTAGCAATTTTGACATGGAGATATACAAATGATATTTATATTTTAGCTCCTCCTTTTAATATAGCTTTGGTTTCCATGCAAAATTTCAAGGGTTATGAAAAGTTAATGCCTACCAATCATCAGCATATGTTATGAAAGAGCTGAACAATAACAGGTAGAACCAAACGAAACATGTTCATTGAATACAGTATATTATCCATAGATTATATGAATGTGCTTCACTAAAACATATGCAATGGTAAGTGTATTGCTTTCCTAAAGCTACCATGATAAAATACTACAGACTGGATGGCTTAAGCCACAGAAATTAATTTTTTCACCATTCTAGAGGCTAGAAGCCCAAGATCGAAGCATTATCAGATTTGGTTTCTTCTGAGTGTTCTCAGCTTGCAAATGACTACCTTCTTCTCTGTGTCATCATATGACCTTTATATATGAGATCCCCTGGTGTCTCTCTGTGTGTCCAAATTTCCTCTAATAAAAACATTAATTAGATGGGATTAGGGCCCACCCTACTAGTTTCATTTTGTTACCCACCTCTTCAAAGGCCCTATCTCCAAATACGGTCACATTCTGAGATACTGGGGAAGTAGGGCTTCAACATATGAATTCCTGAAAGACATAATTCGGCCCATAAAAGTTAAGTAGCGTAATAACTATGTATAAAAACAGAATCTAGTATGACAAGACAATTGATTTTATGTTTTTTCTAATCTCTTAAACTTCATAATTATCAAGTCAACTTTGTATTTCATAGTCTAATAAGCTATTTGGATTCATGAGGAATAAGAATTTATTGAGGATTTTATGTCTTCTACTTCACAACAGGAATTTATGCTCAGGTTACATATCTTTGTTCTAATTGTTTAATCAAGGCAAAACATTGTGTTTAAATTAGCAAATACTTTCCCCTCAAAATAAATGTGTAGTATAATACAGATAACATTATTTGCTGATTTATCTCACTTAAAGCTGATGGCAGACACTTTCTAGTCCCAACATACAGATATTCAACATCTTACCTGTATGTTTTTATTCAGCCTAAAATGTATAACAAAACTGATCTTCGTATGTTCTATTGATGTCACTGTTTCTGCTCTTTCTATTCTGCTTCCTACGAAATGTGCTTCAAGCATGCTTTTATACTTGTTCTCTTCACTGGAAATATTTTTCAGTTTTCGATGACTGTTTCACTCAAAAAATACATAGACATAGACCCTCATCTTATAGCCCCACAGAGTGTTCACTTACGACACTAGAACCTTGATTTTAACTGCCATACGGTATTACATTAACCACGTAGCTAATAAAACCATACATGAAGGCTCTTTCTTTTTCTTGGGAAAGGCTTTCTTCTTTATAAAATTGTCAAAGGTCTAATGATAATATCATTGCACATATATGCATACACAAACATATATATATAATGATATCTGTAAATAATTTACACATGAATGTAAGGAACACTTTATGAGATAAAAGTTCTCATGTCAGTTACTTCTCTAGGACTGGTATTGACCAGTGTAGACTTACAGCTCTTAGCCTACAGACTCTGCTTTCCTGTTCAAGATTCTCTGCTGTGTGTCCCACCTCAGTCTTTACCCACACCATCCGCTTTGGGATGTCTGCTTCTCATTTCAGATATTTTAGTTACTGATCTGGGATAAATATTAAACTTGGCTGGTTAACCCCCAGGGTGCCCACGTAATTCTGCATCTCTCTTTCTCCTAACTCAAGCACATTCTCTCTCTGCTGTTATTTGCATTCTCCAAGATCAACATTGTTCTTTAAACCATAACACTAGGATAAACTTAAATCCTTCTTCATAGTAGAAATCTCTTTCTATCAAATTTTCCACCTTAAACAATTATATATTTTTGCTGCAGCACCAAAATATTTCCTATATACTATTGTAAAATATCTATAAATAATAATGGCTCAGTGTAGTAGCTCTGAATTATTTTCTTTCCAGAGTCCTTATGAAGAAAGCTGACTATGTTATTATGTTTTCAGAAAGAAAACAGCCCTATAAGCAAAAACCCACAGCTCACTTGAAAAGTTTATTAATAACCCTGGTAAGACAAACATTAAAGAGACTGATTAGCATCATCAACAGCTCTCCCAAAGATTAAAGGTGTGCTGGTACAGAGCAAGGTAACATCTTTTAACAATAAGCCACAATATGGAATTATATGTTAACTATATTTCCAATGGAGACCATTTTTTCTTGCATACTAAAATTGTATTAAACTTCAACTCCTAAAATAAGACTGCCATAAAGGAGAGAATTATGATGAAAATATATTCTTCCTAGCAGAATAATAGGGAAAACATTCATTTATTCCCTGTAGCTGTGGACAAGGATGCTGTTTCCATCGGTTTCTTCTGTCTGCTCTCACCAATACATGTTCTCTATTACTTATTTCAAGAAACCTGAAGCAATGAATTATTGTATATGCTTTAAAATTGGTGGTAGCATATATGTGTTGTTTTGTTTGTAAACTAAACACTTTCAAGAGAAAATAAATTTATCAGTTACTATTATAGAGCCCACAGAATCTTAATGAATGCCTAAGTAGCATGCTTTAATGACTCACATATCAAGCAAAGGATACCACAGACTGCTTCAGGGGAAGCATACTGACCCCAGCCAGTTCCAGGCACCAATACTGCAGCCTGACTAGCACATGCTGGCACCAGGCACTATTGCTACAATTACCACCAACCTGACCCTGAAAACATACTTTCAAGATAAAATAAATTTATCAGTTACTATTATAGAGCCCACAGAATCCTAATGAATGCCTAAGTAGCATGCTTTAGTGACTCACATATCAAGGAAAGGATACCACAGACAGTTTCAGGGGAAGCATACTGACCCCAGCCAGTTCCAGGCACCAATACTGCAGCCTGACTAGCACATGCTGGCACCAGGCACTATTGCTACAATTACCGCCAACCTGACCCTGAATGTGGAACATCACTGCAGCCATCCATGTCATGATAGTGAATCCCAAGTGCTGCTTACCTCTCCACATGACTGGTTTCCAGATTAAAGCTTCATGTGTAGATTCTGACTTGTGGAATCTGGGTCAAATCTATGCATCCCGGCAGGAGAAGCAAGTTTCTATATTTTCCTTCAGGAGACTTCCCAAACACAAAAAATATTTAATTGTGACATATGGCCAAAATAATGACAAATTTCAATTATATAGAGATGATGCAGTTGATATATTTAACTACTCCTTTGAATCTGAGCTTTAGTGGGGAACAGGGCAACAAAGTGGAATAATTAATCATTCTTTTATAACCTAAAAAGACAAGAGAAAGAGGAGTTGCAAATTAGTGTTCCCCATAGTTGCAGCATGTAGGAAGCATATTCTTTGAAAGGAAAAAACACTATGTGTGTGTGTCTGTGTGTGTGTGCGTGCATTAATAATTTCTTTTTCTTCTGAGAAATATAGTTGTTCTTTAGTATTCATCTGTCTCACTTATCCTAACTCACAGAGAATAAATATTTAAATTAAGTATGGGAAGCATATATAGAAAAGTTAGTTCTATTCTAGAGATTCCTATAATAATCAAGCTACAAAAGTCAGAATGGTTAATTGCCTCAATTCACAGAACTCCATTTCATATGGATTTAGTAAATAAATTGGGTTTTGTATTTTGACCCATTTGGAGTCAGTCCAGAATGAAGTTAGCTGTACTGAACTGTACTATCATGGAAAGGGAGGCAGGGAAAGAGATAGAGTGGATAAGTAAGACAAAGTATGCTAAGTACAAAAGTCCCATGAAGCTTGATTGCCTTCTATCTGTCTCTCTCTCTGCTGCTCTGAGTCATCACCCAGAATCTGACTGAAATAAGCATGATTTATAAAGGGCATATGGATAGAAGTTTATAAGTGAATATTTTTTAAAGTGTAATTTTACTGGTTTCAACAAGACATTGGATACATTTTTAGTTGCATTTTTTCCTGTAACAAATGCATTTTCTACTTTCTTTGCTGTTGCATTAGATAGAAAGTTGATATTAATATGTTACATTATACAATTTCCTTGCCCAGCTTTTATTTTAAGGCTTATTCCTGTTTTTTAAATGCATTATTTACTACATAGTCATCAGTAGAGTAGTAAGGAAACTTACTTCAATCAAAGTTAAGGAAGATACACATTTGTGGAGTCAAGTAGTTCACTAAAATGTCAAGATATGGTTTTCATACCATAAAAGGTGGCATAAAAACTTCAGAGATAATAATGTGTCCAGTTATATATTTATGCATGTTTACTATTCCTCTAAACACTTTTTTAAACCACAAATAGTTTTCTTATAATGATCTAAATCATGTTTTCAAATCCATTGTGCTAAAGGTCAGCAAATAATGACTTATGTCTCCTGATCCCCTTCCAACACAAAAATATGTGCCTCTTAGTGCATGCACACATGTGTTTAGCCATGTTTTTGGGCAAATTATTCCTCTTAATGATACTATGCAATGCTACATATAGTACCCACATAATAGAATGTTTCCCTTTCTTATGAGTTCAAAAAGAGTTTGCACTTCAGTGTACGTGTTCCAAATGTGTGGTTCTAAGAGGTTGTTATAATGTATGTGATGAATGATAGTTACATAAATGACAGACTCACATGGGTTTATTCTAGGTTCCACGGATGTCCTAGTGACCTTTGTGTATAAGCCTCTTGCCATGGATTTTTACTGCTGTCTCATTTAGATTAAAAACCATTTGGGGAAGTTTGTGTGTTAACATTTATAGTCACCCTACTGTGCTGTTGAACACAAGAACTTATTCCTTCTCTCTAACAGTATATGCATACCAATTAACCAACCTCTCTTCATCGCTCCCTCCTTGCTACACTTTCCAGCCTCTGAAAACTATTATTCTACTGTCTACTTCCATGAAATCAACTTTTTTTAGCTCTCACATATGAATGAGAACATGTGATATTTGTGTTTCTGTGCCTGACTTATTTCACTTAATGTAATTTCTATTAATTACACCCATGTTGTTGTACATGCCAAGATTTTCTTTTTATTGCACATATACACACAATTTTTAAATTCATCCATTTCACTGGTGGATGCTGAGGTTGATTCCATTTTTTGGCTATTGTTAACATGCTACAATAAACATAGAAGTACAGATTTTCATTCGTTTTGATATATATTCAGCAGTGAGATTGCCAGATCATATGGTAGTTCTAATTTTAGTTTTTTGAGGAACCTCCATACTGCTTTTTATACTGGCTGTACTAATTTAAATTTCCGCCAACAGTGTACTAGCCTTCCCCTTTCAACATATCTTTGCTAGCATGTGTTTTTTTTTGTTTTTTGTTTTTTGTTTTTATAATAGTCATTCTAACTGGGGTAAGATGATGATTCATTGTGATTTTGTTTTACATTTTCATAATTGCAAGTGATTTTGAACATTTTTTTCATATAGCTGTTGGACATTTGTTTGCCCTATTTTCAGAAATTTTTATTTAGATAATTTGCCCATTTTAACATTGGATTATTTGTGGTTTTTTCTTTTTGCTCTTCAGTTGTTTGAGTTCCTTATATATTCTAGGTACTAATCTTTTGATGACTGGATAGTTTTCAAACTATCCATCGGTGGCTTTATACATCATCCAAACTCTTACCTCTCACATACTCTGATCCACCATCAGCCCAGCAAAATATCCGTGGAAGCTTCAGGTGTAGCTAAGTGACTGATTATAGAAGGTAAGCAAAATGGTGCTGAAAGGAGATGTATATAATTTCTGTAAAAGATAGCCTGTAATTTGGTTTTAGTTTTTATTCTGCAATGGACTTCTTAATATGAAAACCTGTTAAAATAACTTCTTTACCTATGATAAATTTTACTAAATAAGTGAAAATAAAAATTATCAAATACATTAATAATAATTTTAAAATAAAATAATTACATAAAAGAGCAATTTGTAAGTTTTATAGTCTATAGTAATAAAATGCTTAAACACCTATAGAATGAACAGATTACTATCACACAATTTTAAATTTTCTGTGGAAAAAAAACCTAAGTAAAATTCCAGTCTCTGACTTTGCAAGACAGAAAGAATCAAAATATCTTGATTTTTGCTCATGCAGTTACTTCTTTATAATTCGCTCTTCTTTCTCTATTCTTTCCTAAAAAGATGTGGACTTCAATGAGTATCTTCTTTCTCTAATTCTACCACATAAAGCCAAACTAATTCATGTCCCTTCATAGTATTTTATACATATATAGATTATGCCATGACTTCTTTATTTGTATATCTCCATTTGGGTTCCCAGAGAGGCCACGTTCAATATTTCATGTTTATTCTTCCTGTTACAATATCAATATATAGTTAATAGAAAACACTCAGTAATTGTTAGCTGAAATAATATAAAATGTGAGAACAAAGGCCATTACTTATTTAATAATAAGTAAACAAAATTAAATAAAGGAATACGTTTCCTTGGTTAATTTTGTCTCAGTCTTTGAAGAAATATGTATGTATGTATACATATGTATATACATAAACAAATTTACCTTTTAATTGCCAAAATAATAGCAGGGAGAAGGCAGAACCAGAAACATTCAAATGTAAAATCCAAATGCAACTATTAATTTAAAAAATTGATGATATAATTTTAATTTTTTATTTATAGTGTGACTTATAAGTATATAGTTTGTTTTATGACCTTAAAATAATTACCTATGTGAAAGACTAGAATATTTTTTACGATTGGATGGCAAACCCTCTTTCTCATTAGTTTTAAAATAAGGTTTTAGTGTGGTTGATTGTAAAAAGTAAAGAAATATCAGTAAGATTTCATCTCTTTTATTTAATATTATAGCAAGGAAGTAAAAAAGATAAAACAAGGAACAGACTTCTACAAAATTTCAATTAGTTCTCAGATAATGGGAAATTATTTCTATAAACAAAAATAGGAGGCTATGAAATAAACAATACTCCTTTCAGTAATTTTAAAGCTTTTCTGATTATAGTATCATAATTTATAATATTATTTCTTGAAATAATATGTCTAAAAGTACAGAATGGTATTGTTAAACTAACCCTGGGAAATCTAACATTGACTTCTTTGTTATACACTTTTAATTATTTTAATAAATAAACTCATTTTGCAAATAGAAGCAATACTTTTAAACTGCCTGTATTATATGAAATAAAAATAATGTGGCCTAAATTTTGTTTTCTACATAAAACATCCAAATCAGATCTTTTCTAAACTAAAATTTCAAATTCAGTAGGACTTCCATGGTGTCTTTCTTAAATATCATTTCAATTTAATTACTAAAACACCTTTGTCCTAAGTTAATCCATAGTCACAGAACCTTAGTCTGGTGCAAGACATGAGCACCAAAATATGGCCATCACTTTCACCCTTGGGCCTCCTTCTCTCAAGCTTTTCTTTCTTTTACTTGTTCATAGATGTTTTATATATTTATTCTTTCACTTGTTTCACCAAGGTCACATGTCTTTTTGTTTCCCAAAGGATGTTCGTTCTGTAATCTGTGGGCTATTCACGTTGGATATAAAATGGGTGATTTATTTTCCAGAGCATAAAGTGGAGGAATGTGCAAAGGCAAAGAACATTTGAATATTATTGCGTATTTTCTTCTCAATTTTAATGCGGAGAAAAAGGTGGTTATATGTAATGATGTGAGAGGCATCACATCATTACATGATGTGAAGCAGAGTTTGAGAGATTGCAGGATCAGATGAAAGTCAGAGCTATGATGAGAAAGGATGGATTAGAAATAGATAATGAGTAGAAAGAACAGTTCTCCTATGCCTTAGTAAGAAGCAGTAAAGTGTTGTTACATATCCTCATTCACAGATTTGTGGATGAAAGCTTAAATTCTCATCTCATTGCTTGAGTCTATGAACAGTATGCAAAAACATCTGCTAAAAATGAAGTTTGATTAATAGGATATGAAAAATGTTATGAGAAGAATGGAACATTTAAAATTATCTACCATGTAGAAAAGGAGATAAAATAAATATAGTGGGATTGCCAGGTCCAATTTATGTTGGAGACTATGAATATGTAGAAGCACTTGTATTAGTCAGGGTTCTCCAGAGAAATAAAACCAAAGGAGGTAGGTAGATACATAGAAAGACAAATAGATACTTATTTTGAGGGATTGGCTCACATGATTTTGGATGCTGAGAAGCCCCATGATCTGCAATATGCAAACTGGAGGCCCAGGAAATCCACTGGAATAGTTCCAGTCCAAACTCAAAGGCTGGAGAACCAGAAGTGTCAATGTGTACATCCAATTTCTAATCCAAAGGCACAAGAACCGGGGGTGCTTCTGTCTCATGGTAGGAGAAGAATGAGGTCCCAACTCGAGCAGAGACAAAATTTGCCCTTCCTCCACCTTTTTGTTCTATCTGGGCCCTTGGTAGATTGGAAGATACCCACCAACAATGGTGAGGACAGATCTTCTTTACTAAATCTACTGATTCAAGTGCAAATCTATCAATAGTTCAGAAATAGCCTCCCACATATTTCCGTAAATAATGCTTTCCAGTTATTTGGGTATCCCTTAACCCATTCAAGTTGACACATAAAATTAACCATCAGAGCACCCATCTGTGAGTGTGGGTAGATTTCGCCCTGGACTATGCTTAGGTTTAGAGATGATAGAAAGATTGATACAGGATTGGAATTTTTTTCTGATTGTACTGAAAATATGATATAATACATAAGAGAGTTGATAATGTCAAACAGAAAAAAAACTAAGCTAGAATCATTGAAATGGTTTAGAACTAACCAGAAAAGAATAACTAATGGTTTGACAGCTTTATGAAGTGAAAGAACAGTGGCGTTGTGAGTAATTTGATGAAGAAACAGGAAGAATAGGAAGTTTTCATGAGATTGAAGAACCTAGATATGTGGTTTCAAAGTCAATCATTCAGATGATTTTTAAAATGTACTTCTCATGGTCTAGTCAATGTTTCTAATACAGTTTACCTAAGTATTCAATTTCCTTCTTATAAGACTAGATGTTCAGCATTGGAGGTATAATTATTGTTAAGTGGTTTTAGGGACATAAGTCCTGCCTGACTTTTCTGTCAATTATTTTTTACTATCACTGCATTTCTACAAAGGAACATATTTCCAGACTCAGATCTCACAAGTTTCTATAGCTAAAATGAACTCAAAGTGATGGTCCCACATCAAGCATGACCAACAAATTTAGATGTCAGAGTTACATGTCACCTGAAGAACTATGCTCCTTTTACATTGAGCACCTTCTGATCTGTATGTGTTAGTGAAATAGACAACCAGTGACTGGTGGCTCAAAAGTCAGACTAAATAATGGATTAAATAGTTTATCTCCTCTGCTGTAATAAACTTTTCCATTAACCCTTCAAAAAACAAAAACACATATAGGATCCATGGAGAATAGGAGAAAAAACATTCCAGATGAGAAAAACAACTCTATCCAACCTTGTACCTCCCCAAATCTTTAAATTGTATGCAGATTACTGCTTACAGCAAATTCCCCTAGATTTCTCTGTGTCTCTGATATGATGACAAAGACTTATGTCCTCTAACTTCTGCTATGCTCTCTCCCTTCTATAGCTACCACTTTTGTCTCTTTGCCTTGCATTATATCCTAGGTTTTCAAACTCTAAATATTCATTTATACATAAAAGAGCTATGATTCCACCCATCCCTGTTTATTATTCTTTAAGACGGATTCGATTTTCTTTCTCCATTTCAATAACTTGTCAGGATATTTTTGTTTATCATCAACTATATGTGTGCGTGTGTGTGTGTGTATAGATGAAATCTAAGTACTACTTTAATATAAACTATAAACTGGTTACAAATGTAAAAACAAGCATTTTTGTTAATGTATTGCTTCTTTGCCAAAAAGAAACCTTTTTCTCTAA
The DNA here is from genome assembly GCF_000001405.40 of Homo sapiens. Classification (NCBI taxonomy): domain Eukaryota; kingdom Metazoa; phylum Chordata; class Mammalia; order Primates; family Hominidae; genus Homo; species Homo sapiens. The sequence goes on along the minus strand of NC_000003.12, from coordinate 103,867,088 downwards.
GGGACTAAAATGAACAAATATGAACAATGGAGACTAAATCACTGAGAATACAAGTTTTGAAGAAATATGCACTCTTTCCAATCGTCTGGATGTGGATAGACAAAATTCCAGTGAACTGTGTATTTAAATATATTTTTGTTTAAGTTTTAATTTTCTTTACATGAAAGCATTACCATATTCAGAAGGGCAATCATGGTTACAAATTGGGATTCCATGTTTAGTAGGACCAACCTCAACTGTTTGCCAGTTTGCCATAGAGTTGAGTGAAATGTATTTTTTTCTGCCTACTTCTCAGCTAGTTTAGGTAGCTGCAATGTTGTTTTCCTATAATTTTAGCTTTAATTGAATGGAAGAAAATATTAAACATGGAATAAACTATATAAACTTCATTGGTTCAAAGGAGAAAAACTCCCATAAGAATCTTTGAAGACAAACACTTCTTAACACTGGTGTGCCAGTCCTCACCAAGGAGCTTTAGATGTGTGCGGCAGGAGGAGACAACACACACATTACTCTTGCCTTCTCACATCTCTCTTGAAATGATCTCTTACTGACAAATGAAAGTATTTGCCCTGGGAGGTACTAAAGTTGCAGATGGATTGTGGGTCATGCTATACATATGAAAAATATTATTCAAATATTATAGGTGGAGGAACTGAGACTCAAAGACTGTATGTTTCAGTAACTACTACAGTAGAATCAAGATTCAAATTCAGGCCTATTTATCATTCTGTTATGAAATAGTTGTTATTAATATTTTATAATTTCCCTTAGATCAGCAGTTCTCATCTGGAGGCTATTTTGCCCCCAGGGAACATATGACAATGTCTGGAGACGTTATTTTGGTTGTCATAACTGGAGGCTGCCTCTGGCATCTAGGGAATAGAGGCTAAGATACTGCTAAACATTCTGCCTTGCACAAGAAAGCACCGCTTCTACCCCCGATAAGGAGTTATCTGGTCCCTGAAGTCAATAATGTTGAAATTAAGAAACCCTACCTTGGGTGTTACTGATGTCTTTGGTATATGGAAAGAAATTGTACTTACAGAGGTACCATAGGAACAGACAGAACAAGCCTTCCATCCTTGCATTTGCATACAAGCGTTGTCACGAAAGCAAACTTGCTGGATGTGTTTCCTAGAGCAAATAATCTGGCTCTATATTGCTTCCCAGAGTGTGGAGCCCAATCTCAAGGGCACCAATGTTACCTTTAGCAGGTCACTAATATGTGGAAGAAAATAAAGTAGGTAGGTCATTTCTTCCAACAAACTACTTAAGCACAATGCATTGTATTTACATTCTATAAGAAAAAAAGTTTATTATTTGAAAGTAGGCTTCTTCAGACTTCAGCAACATTAAACAGTCCTCAGTAGAGACCAGCCTATGCAAAGAAAGGAACCCAGCTATAAAGAGTTGGAAGTGAAGAATGATTTGAACATTTGCACAACCCTCCATTCAGGGTTATAAATCAAAATTATCAAATAGAGAAAATTATATATTTGTTGCTCAACAAATGGTCTCAAACACAAAACTTTTCCATTCTGTATAAAAATCATCTCTTAGTGGTTGTTAAAATAAAGTCTTCATAATCAAGAACTTCTTTCTTCCTTAACATATCCTACCACTGACATACATAGTGTTATTTTATGGAGGTTCACTTTATGGCACACTACATAAAGAAAATAATTGTTGCACTTATAATCGGTGTGTTTAAGTAGCATAAAAATGACTGCAGCTCACCTTCTCTTAAATATAAATTTATTTTTAAAATAACTTGTAATATAAGTCAAAGAGGGTTATTAAACATAAATTTATTTTTAAAATAACTTGTAATATAAGCAAAAGAGGAATTGAATTTTGCTTTAAATGTTTAATATTTTAAAAATATATGAAGTGGATAAATGCTTATCACAGAAAGTTTAACAAATAAAGTAAAATTAAAGAGTGCGTAGACACACACACAGAAGTTTCCCATTAATTCTCCAATCAGAAAGAATATTTCTTCACATTTTAATGCATTAAAGAAAGTTTGGTTTAAACTTTAGGTACAATTTTGAGACTTTCACTTAAAATTATGTCATAAATGTTTTCTATGTACATAAATGTTCTTGGAAACTATTTTTAAATGCCTATTTTCTATGTATTTAGAGAAACTAGGTGTATTTATTACATAAAAATAGAAAATATAGGTGAGCAAATAGAAAATTCAACTAACTATGCTAATTTCCAATAACTTCTGGCCTATTTTAAAGTATATTCTGTAATGTTGTATGCATTTATCACTTTAGAATATCTTGATTTAAAAAAGTAAGGAAACCTAATATTTTCTAAACTCTTATTCTCAAAATTAGTGAGTTTAAGCATGTGTATAAATATTCTTTGCCAAGGTCAGTATCGAGAAGGGTATTTTCTAGGGTTTCTTCTATGATTTTTATAGTTTGGGGGCTTACATTTAAGTCTTTAATTCATTTTTAGTTAATTTTTTATATGGTAAAATGTAGGGGTCCAGTTTCATTCCTCTGCATCTGGATAGCCAGTTGTTCCAGCACCATTTATTGAAGAGGGAGTCTTTTTCTCATTACTTATTTCATCAACTCTGCCAAAGATCACATGGTTATAGATATGTCTTTATTTCTGGGTCTCTATTTTGTTCCATTGGTCTGTGTGTCCATTTTGTATTAGTACCATGCTCTTTTGGTTACTGTCAACTTGTACTATAATTTGAAGTTGGGTAATGTGATACATCTGGCTTTACTCTCTTTGCTTAGTATATCTGTACCTATTTGGGAACTATTTTGGTTCCATATGAATTTTAGAAGGGTTTTACTTAATTCTGTGAAAAATGAAATAGGTAGTTTGATAAGAATAGCATTGAGTGCATAAATTCCTTTTGACAATATGGTCTTTTTAATGATACTAACTCTTCCAATCCATGAGCAGAGAAAAATCAAAACCACAATGAGATACCATCTCACACCAGTCAGAATGGCTTTTGTTAAAAAAATCCAAAGATATCAAATACTGACAAGGCTTTCGAGAAGAGGGAACATTTATACATTGTTGGTGGGAATTAAATTAGTCCTTTTTGGTGTTACGCTGTCTTGTGTTGTTATAAATAAATACCTGAGACTAGGTTATTTATTAAAAGGAGGTTTATTTGGCTTATAGTTTTGCAGACTTCCTGAGGGCCTCAGGAAGCTTCCAATCATGACAGAAGGCAAAGGATGAGCAAGCGAGTCACATGGAGAGAGAGGGAACAAGAGAGAGAGAAGGAGGTACCAAGAGGTTCAAACAGCTTTTATGTGAACAAATGGAGTGAGAACTCATTCACAGCCATGAGGAGGTTACCAAACCATTTATGAGGGATCTGCTTCCATGACCCAAACACCTCCCGCTAGGCCCACCTCCATCACTAGGGGTCATATTTCAACATGAGATTTGGAGGAAGCAAATGTCCAAACTGTATCATTCTTCCTCGGACTGCCCCTCCATCTCATGTTCTGCTTACATTGCAAAATACATTGATGTCCTCCCAGTAGCCCCCCAAAGTCTTAACTTGTTCCAGTGTCAACTCAAAGTCCAAAGTCTCATCTGAGACTCGAGGCAAGTTCTTTCCACCTATGATCCTGCAAGAGCAAAAATAAGTTATTTTCTTCCAAGATACAATGGTGGTACAGGCATTGGGTAAATATTTTCATTCCAAAAGGAAGAAATTGGCCAAAAGAAAAAGGCAATAGGCTCCACCCAAGTCTGAAACCAGGCAGGGTAGTCATTAAACCTTAAAGCTCCAAAATAATTTTTCTTGACTCAATTTCTTATATCCCGGCACACTGGTGTGAGGGGTGGGCTCCCAAAGCCTTGGGCAGCTCCATCCCTGTGTCTTTGCTGAGTGCAGCCCTCATAGCTGCTCTCATGGTTTGGAGTTGAGTGCTGTGGCTTTTCTATGCTCAGAGTGTAGGCTTCCATTGGCTTTACATTCTCAGGTCTGGAGGGCGGTGGCCCCAGTCCCACAGATCCAATGAGACAGTGCCCTGGTAGGGCCACAACATGGGGACTCCATCTAGACATTTCTCCCCAGCATTGCCCTAGTAGAGGCTCTCTGCGGAGGCTCTGCCCATGGCACAGGCTTCTGCCTGGACACTCAGGCTTTCCCATACATCCTCTGAAATCTAGGTGGATGCTGTCAAGCCTTGTTTTCTCTAGCATTCTGTGTTTCTCCAGGCTTCTCACCACGTGGAAACCACCAAGGCTTACAGTGGCTTGCACTCTCATAAGTGGCAGTCCAGGTCATATCTAGGGCCCTTTGAGACATAGCTGGAGCTGAACTAGAGCAGCCAGAATGTAAAAAGCAGCCTCTCAAGATGGTGCAGGGCAATGGTGCCCTGGGACTGCCCTCTGAAACCATTCTTTTCTCCTAGATCTCTGGGCCTGTGGTGATAGGGATGGTCCTGAAAACTAAAAGTCTTCCAGGACTTTTTGCCATTGTCTTGACAATTGGCACTTGGCTCCCATTTTGTCATGCAAATCTCTCTAGCAAGAGGTTACTATTCATTCCTCTTGATTTCCTCTCTTGAAAATGCTCTTTCCTTCTCTACCACATAGCCAAGATGCAAATTTTCCAAACTTTTATTCTCTACTTTCCTTTTAATTATAATTTCCAGTTTTACATCATTTCTTTGCTCCCACATCAGATAATAGGATGCTAGAAGGAGCCGTACCACATCTTGAATCCTTTGCTGCATAGAAAATTCTTCTGCTGGATACTTTAGGTTATCATTTTTAAGTTTAACCTTTCACAAATCATTAGCACATGGGCACAGTGCAGTCAAGTTCTTTGCTAGGGCATAACCTTTTGCTTAGGGTAAAAGGGTAACCTTTGCTCCAGTCCTGCATAAGTTCCTTATTACCATCTGAGACCTCATAAGGCTGGTCTTCACTGTCCTCATGTCTATCCGCATTTTGGTCACAACCATTAAATCACTCTTTATTAAGTTACAACCTTTCTCTCATCTTCCTGTCTCTTTATGAGCCCTTCAAACTCTTCCAACATCCGCCAGTCCCAAAGCCACTTCCCCATTTTCAAGTATCTTTATAGACATGCCCTCGTTGGTACCAATTTTCTGTATTAGTCTATTTTGCATTATAAAAGAATACCTGAGACAGGGTAATTTATAAAGAAAAGAGATTTATCTGGCTTATTGTTCTGCAAATGTATAGGAACCATAAGCTTCTGGTGGAAGGCAAAGGAGGAACAGCAATGTCACATGGTGAGAGGCAGGGCAAGAGAGAGAGAGGAGGGGTGCCATGCTCCTTTAAACAATCACCTCCTTTGTGAACTAACAGGGTGAGAATTCACTCATTACCATGGGGAAGGTACCAAGCCATTCATGAAGAATCTGCTCCAATAACCCAAACACTTCCCACTGGGCCCACCTCTAACATTGGAGGTCACATTTAAACATGAGATTTGGAGGGGACAAGCATTCAAACTGTATCAGATAGGAATATCTTGATTCTGTAAACTGTTTGGGGCAGTATGACCATTTTATCAATATTGATTCTTCCAATTTATGAGCCGAAAATGCAAATCAAAACCACAACAGAATAACGTCTCACACCAGTCAGAATGGCTTTTGTTAAAACGTCAAAAAATAACAAATGTTGGTAAGGTTGCAGAGAAAAGGAAACACTTATCCATAGTTGGTGGGGATGTAAATTAGTCCAGCCACTGTGGAGAGCAGTTTGGAGATTTCTCAGAAACTGAGATGAACTACCATTCAACCCAGAAATATCATTACTGATTATATACCCAAAGGAAAATAAATAATTCCACAAAAAAAATCTGCATTCCTATAGTCATCATAGCACTGTTCAAAATAGCAACGACATGGAATTAATCCACATTGCTCATCAAGGATGTATTGGATAAAGAAAATGTATATATACACCATGGAATACTATACAGCCACAAAAAGAACAAAATTATGTTCTTTGCAGCAACATGGATGCAGCTCAAGCTCATTATCTTAAGCAAATTAATGCACAAATAGAAAACCAAATACTGTATGTTCTCATAAGTGTGAGCTAAACATTAGGTACACATAGATATAAATGGCAACAATTGAAAAAAATTAAAAAGAAAAACCTAAACCCATCTTTAAATTAAATCATAAATAAATAAATATTCTCTAAAATATGATTTTAATGATACATAGTGTTTTACCATATGATTATAATACTCTTTTCTTAATATATCCCTGTGTTCAAGCTTATAATTTTGTAAATTTTACAATTCTAAACAATGCTGCATAGAACATCCACATAGCAAAATATTTGCCTTCTGACACATAACTATTTTTAAAATAAATCTCTAGAAATTTAATTGCTCTAATAAAGAGAATAAAGCAAATTTAAATAAATTTTTGATACATGTTGACATAGTGCTCTTTAAAAGACTTGTGCTAATTTATTCCCATAGCAGCAAGTGGCACTTTAAATGACTGCTGAACGTTTCTCTCTCAGCTGTCTCCAGAGTAATAGTGTTGTGGTTCATTAATTAAACATTCATGCATTTGTGAATTTTAGCTGTGCACTATATAAAGTTTTTAAATTGCTTTAAACATATATCTCCTTTCAAACTGTTACTACTTAGGAATATTAAGCAGCTAATAAAGTTTAGTATAGTATTTGTCTTCTAATTGTTTTAAAAAAGTAGAATTATAATATGATTGAAAAAACTTTCAACAATAAAAAAGAATACATTTTGAAGACCATTTATACATTCAAATTGATATGGAAGACTGAAAAGGACCATCCAAGTAGCCTGAATGGCAAAAGCAAATATTTAGAGAGAGCAATAAATGTGTACTAAAGTTCTTACAGAGGTAGTTCAGCATAGAAGAAAATTGCTGGAAACAAATTAGAGATAAGATTGGAAAAGTGTGTATGCATGTCCATTGTGGTTCAAGAGTGGGTAAAGGCTGAAGATTTATCTTTGAAAGATTTAATGACCTTTCCTGGCTGGCCATCAAGTCTTCTGCTGAAAGAAGAAAGCTTGCGGAAATTGTGGGTAAAATGATCTAAAAAGTAAACCCTGCTTTAAAAAAAGCTATCAAAAGGGAAGGTTTATGTCTATATAGAAGAAAGTGTCAACAATTCCAAATTCCTTTTCATAATGATGGTGAGAAAGCTGCATACAGACATAGATTTGTTTGGAAGTTTTTTTTTTCCTTAAACATCAGCAGACAGAAGTGATTCTGCCTCAAATTTCTAATTAAAGAAAAAATGTAAGCAGAGATGTGAAAAGTGGATATGTAAAAAGAACACGTGGGTGGGTGTTAAAACTTAGGACCGAAATATTAATTCTTTTTGTCACACTATAAAATTTTACCAAAACACTGCTATAATATAGAGTTCTGCTGGATTTTTATCTTGGTTGATTTTCAGATATGAGATTTTATATACACATACACAGAAACATATATGCACATACACATATATACACACACACACACAAACATACATACATATATACATATGTGGTGTATACCTTTTTTCCAGATTACAAAGTAATGAATGCCCAAAGAAAAAAGTTTGGAAAACATTGAAAAGTATAAAAAGAAAATTTAAGTTACTCATATTACAACTACACAAATAAAATATGAAACTATGACTATTTCACCTAATCAAATCCTTATTTACCATTATACTCAGCACAGAGATTAATTGAATCTTAACAGCTTGCCACATTTGCTTATGTTTATCTGAGTTCTCTCAGAAAGATGGAAAGATAGGATAAGCCCTGCAAGAGATTCACTGAGGAACACAGTGTTGACTAAAAATATGGAGCAAGCTGCAGGAGGTTAGGAATGCTATACGACTGTGATACAACTTGAACCCTTTGAAAGAAAAAGGTAGTAAAGGAAGAAGGAAAAGGCAGAAATGCCAAAACAGCAGTGCAGTTCTAGGGAAGTGTTGGCAAGCCTCACAAGCAGTTCTGGAGTCAAAACTCCAGGTGAAGTGTCACATCTTTTAAGTATAGGTCTGCCTTAGTTTCCCTGTTGAGCTTAGTTATTGGCTAGAGGAGCCAGTGGAAAGAGTGACCGTTGAACTAATACATTGATGGATTTCAAATTGCAACAGCAAAGTCAGCAGGAGACTGGACAGGTGCATTTTTATGGCTACCATATTGTTGAAATAGTTTCTGTAATAATAATAATAATAATAATAATAAATAAATAATAAAATAAAATCCAAATAGAGGTTGCCTCTGCAGGCCTTTATCATGCTAATCTACCTCATGACCAAAGAGGAATCATTAACAAAAATTTGGTAATAAAAATAAAAATAAAAATTTGGTAATAAAAGTTCTTATGAGGTTTTAATCTAATATTAGTATGTTTTATAACCATAAGCATAAAAACTAAAATTTTGTAGGTTTTACAATTTAGTATAAATTATATTTACTGTACATATCTTGCTATATAATGCTTCTTTCACTTGACATTTTGTTTCAGGCTATGAATGTATTAATACATATGATTCTAGTTCAATGCTTTCACTGCCATATGGCTGTCATAGGCAAATAGCATAATTTATCCATTTATATTGTTTCTAATATATTATTCTAACAAACCATACTGTAAAACACATTATTGTGAGCATGTCATTGCATATGAGTAGAAGAGTTTTTCTTATGTACAGGATACATTTAGAAGTACAATTTTAGAGCTTCAGGTTATAAACATTTTTTGCTTTACCAGGTATTGCTACATTACTCTTTAAAGTAGTAGTACAAATGTATGCCATTTTTACCAGTACATGACTCTGTTTTTGCATTCTTATCAAAACTAGTTTTTTCTAAGGCATTTTTAAGCCAGTCTCTTGGGTAGAAAATAATATCTAACTTTTTTTGTTTACATTATTATTATTAGTTGGTTTGAACATTTTTCCTGTGTATTGTCAGTTGATCTTTTTCTTCCGTTAATTGTCTATTCATTTTCTTTCCATTCACTACATTTTACCCTTTTTTTAATGATCTGGCAATTTTGAATACTTTCTTTTTAAATTCTATGCATTGAAAATATTTTCTTGATCCATCACTTCTTATGGTCTTTTGAATCACAGAAAATTTACATTTGAAGAAAGTAAAATTTAATATCATTTTTCATAGATTATTTGAGCAATATCTTATCTAAGTGATATTTTCTTATACTAAATACACAAATTATTCTCTTGAATATATTGAAAATACTTTTTGATCCATCACTTCTTATAGTCGAGTCATAGAAAATTCACATTTGAATAAAGTAAAATTTAACATAATTTTCATTGTTTTAGCAATATCTTAAGTTATATTTGCTTTTACTAAATACACAAATTATTATCTCATGTATTTTTCTAATTGTTTTTATTTTCACATACAGTCTAGTAATTCAGTGGTCTTTTCTCTTTAACCTTATTCAAATAACTCAAATTACTTTGATCTTCCTGATTTACCCACATAAAATGTTGGGATTAACTTGTTATGTTCTAAAGGAAAAAATAACAAATGATTGTTACATTTGTTGACATTTCCTTAAAAGCTGAAAGTTATTTAGAGAAGAATTGATGTGTTTGTTACATTTAAAAAAACCCTGTTTTGTGGAAAGTTTATCACAGTTCTCTCAGATGGATAGCTCAGACAACAACCAAACCATTAAGAAACTAATCTTATGAATTAGCATATGTATTTGTGTTTTTATGTAAGTCTGTATTTGATTGTGCTCAGTCTTTAACAAATATTTATTCTTTTCAAACATGCATGGAATATTTATAAAAATTGGCCATGCATGAGGTCTCAAAATCTAGCAAATGACTATTACCTTGCAAAATATGAGCATGCTCTGAAAAATAATAGGCAACAAAAAAGACATGAAATTAATAAGATGAATAAAATAAACAAACAAAGGTTAACATTCTTTTTGTAAAATTATGCATAAAATAGGCCTCTGGCAAGATTTAAACAAGGGACTAAGCACTTTTATCCAAGAATGAAAGGACTGTTAATATTTTTAAAAAATCTATTGATGTAATTTATCACATTTTTAAACTAAAAAACAAAAATTATATTTTCAAAAATAAACAAAAATGGACTAAAAATAACCAAGGAAATTTTGAATAAACTACCAATAAACAATGTGTACGTTACATGATTTTTTTTCTTTAAGTCAGAGTAATTAAGATTGAATTATGCAGCTATTGTTCTGAAAAAGGGAAAATTAAGAACCTACTTAAAGTTAAAACTGTTATCTGGTAGAGCTGGTATTAAATATCAATAGGAAAAGGTGAAAACAAATAAAATTCTCTGTGTGTTTTGGGAGTCTAGTTTGGTAAACCCTTTCCTTATGTAAGGTAATAGAAATAGGCTTTTATATTTTCTTCTAAAGTTTTTATATTTTTATACAGGTGTCCAGTCCATCGGGAATTGAATTTTCCATAAGGCATGAGGTAAAGCAGTGGTGTCTTGTTCCTGATCTTAGTACTTTTGGTTTCTTACCATCAGGTGTGATGTGAGCTGTAGGTTTTGTAGACATTTCTTATCAAGTTGTGAAAGTGCCATCTCTTTCTAGTTTACTGAAAGTTTTTATCATGAATTTTTGTAAAATGCTTTTTCCACATCTTTTGATATAATTACATGATTTTTATTCCATAGCCAGTTACTGTAATGGATTACATTAATTTGTTTTTGATTATTGAACCAAACTGGCATACCTGGGATAAATCCCACTTGGTTGTGGTATATCATTCTTTTTTACGCATTGCTGGATTCTACTTGCTAATATTTTGCTGAGGAATTTACATATACGTTCATCAGAGATATTGGTATGTAGTTTTCTTTTCTCATGGTCTTTTTCTGGTAGTAGTAGTAGGATAATATTGGCCTCATCAAATGAGCTAGAAAGTATTCCCTCTGTTTATATATTCTAGAAAAGATTGTAGAGGACTGGTATAATTTTTTAGTGTTTGATAGAATTTGCTGTCCATTCATCTGGGTCTGGTGCATTCTGTTTCGGAAGGTTATTAATTACTGACTCAATTTCTTTAGCAGACATAGGCCTTTTAAGATTGTCCATTTCTTCTGGTGCGAGGTTGGCCGACTGTTTCTTTCAAAGAACTTATCCATTTCATACATGTTCTCAAATTTGGGAGAATAGAGTTTTTCATAGTGTCCCTTTATTACCCTTTGCTGTCTATAGAAAAATTAGTATTATTTAAAAGTTACAACATCAGTTATACTCTAAATGTCAATAAGCAGGGGAATTAATTAATAGATTTTGTCATAATCCTACCATGTGTTTTTATACCAATAAAATGGAGTGAACAACTAGGATAAATCTCTCTCACATATAATATTGAGTAAACTGAAGCAAATTGCAGAATGCCTCTAATATTATTTAAAATTATAAATATTAAATACATTTAAATCAGTGCTGTGTTTAAGGAATAGGCATATGTGCTATAGTGTTAGAAGATACATGAGGCCACGTTTTGTAGAACAGAGCACAGCATGGTGTTTATTAAAGAGGATAGTGGTTACATATACAGTTACGCACCCTATAACAACCTTTTAATCAACCACAGATTGTGAATATGATGGTGGTCCCATAAGATTGCAATGGAGCTCCCCTATACAGGTATACCATATTTTGCCTCTTATACCATATTTTTATTGTTTATTTTCTATTATTAGATATGTTTAGATACATAAATGCTTAGCATTGTATATAATTGCCGATAATATTCAGTATAGTAACATGCTGTACAGGTTTGTAGCCTAGCACCAATAGGCCACACCATAGGCCTAGATGTATAATAAGCTATACCAGTTAGGCTTGTGTAAGCACACTCTATGATGTTTGCACAACATGAAATCACCTCATGATATATTTCTGAGAATGTTTCCCAGTCTTTAAGCAACACATGATTATATATATATATATATGTAGTATACACCCACACACAAACACACACACGTAATCAGAGAGTGGGTAAAATGGAAACCTTCAATTTTTGAATGTTTTGGAATTTAATAGATTGGAATTCAGCTTGCATCTAATTATATGTTGTGGTTAAATTTGGGGTTTTCCAAAGATACTTCAATCTATATTCTTTATTTCTAAGGAAGCAATTATGATTTATTATTATCCCCATTTGAGATAATAAATATAACATGTAGTTTATTTATTTATTTTTATTTTTAATTTTTGTGTGCACATAGCAGGTATGATATGTACAGGTATATGAGATGTTATGATATAGACCTGTGAAATAATCATATCTTGGAGAAGAGGGTATCCGTCTCCTCAAACATTTATCCTTTGTGTTACAAACATTTCAATTACACCCTTTTAGTTATTTTAAATGTACAGTTGAGTCATTAAGGACTATAGTCCCCCTGTTGTACTATCAAATAGTCTTATTCATTCCTTCTATTTTTTTGTACCCATTAACCATCCCCACCTTTCCATCCCAAGCCCTCCACTATCCTTCCCAGCTTCTGGCTGTCATCTTTCTAATCTCTATGTCTAACAGGTAGTTTATTTATTTTCCTTTTTACTTCCCAGTATAATGTGGTGGAATATTAGTATTGATATTACCTTATGTTTCTGGTTTAAAAAATAATGTAAGAGAATTTGTCCAGAGAGATACGTATGGGATAGAATAGGTTGATGAGAAGCTTAAGAGTGATAAATAGCATATGGGCTATATTTATAGTAATGGAAATTACTGGAACAATAGCACCCAATAAATAATTGGCCATTGAGTTTAGAGAAGAAAAGAAGCAAAGAAACAAATTGAGTAGAAGATATGCAAAAGATAAGGACTGGTGAAAGAGTTAAAAATTTTGAAAATTGACATAAATACTTAAGGGAAACATTGATGTGTTCAATTTTTCACCTTTTTATTACATCCATATTCATTTTGGCTGTTGAACCATATTGATATAGCATTTACAATCACTGATATCAAGGTCAAAATTACAAATGTGTTACAAAATTGTCCCTTTTAGAAGAAAATACAATATTAGCAACATAGACATTTGGTTTCACTGACATTGTGCACTAGTTATGGATTAAAAATGAAGGAATTTTTTTGATAGGGCAGTGTGCGAAGGAAAAAAGACTAGAAGGCTAGGAAATTTGTCATGGAAATTGTCAAGTCTTGAATTATTCTCCTAACAATTATATCCCTGCAATGCATGTGAATGAATACGCATTTTTTGATAGAAAAGACAATGGAGGTCAGCTTCTCCTTGTGTCTTATAAAACAGTCAGTTACTCCATTAGGAGTTATATTGAAAGATCACAGTCACAATTAAATGACCAACTCATAACTATCACAATTCTGATCAGGACAATGATGATCATCATTATGATTAATATAAGAGTATTAATCTTACAAACTATTTCTATACCTGTGTTAACCATTGTGTCTAACAATTTACTACAGTTGGTTATACCATAGTATTAAAGGAGCTACACTTTAGACCTAAATCAGCTTGGAAAAACTAAATGCCTCAGTTTTACAGTCAGGGACTTCAGACTTTACTTACTGTCAATCTTGCAGTTGAACACCAAGTATGCCTATGGAGAATGTGTGCGTGTTTCAAAGCAATCAATCAATACTATAGCAAAGCATAGGAAAGTGGATGTCTTTTGAGAAAAAGTTCAATGAAGGTATTTTTTAGGAAATGACAGTCCAGTATTTTTAGAGTTCTCATATTTTTATTGCAACATTTGACATATCCAAATTTTTGTTATAATGGAATTATGTATATTAATATAAAAAGAATTATAATAAATTTCAGCTATTGGGCTATATGGTTTTACATTTAAAGGCACACGTTTTCTTTCAGTTACATGAATTAAATAATAAATGTATCTAAATTTTTGTTACAAATGTTAATAGGCCTCCCTATGATGTACCTTAGATACATTTATTTATAGGAAATGACTGTGCTGAAATAAAATCACTTTTTAATAATATTCACTCTTAGTTGTTAGAGTTTATAAAATATCTTCTTCAAATGAGGGTCATTCAAACCTGTGTCACAGTTTACATAAGTTTACTTTTCATGGTCTGTGTATTTGTCATTTTTCATTCCTTGTATGGGCTTTTGTTTTTCTAGTTGTTCCTGAATGAACATTTATTCATCCAACAAATATTGTTTTCTAGGCACTATCTTGTCTATGAATAATTTATCAGTGGACAGGACAATATCTCTGCCCTCATAAAGCTTACATGTTACTACAGTGGAAACTCGTCTATGCAGTGGGAGAGGAGAATAAATCTCTGTTCTTATCAGCTCTAAATTCCATGATTGACAATGCAAGCTTATGGAATGTTTCTCTGTTTTTCTATTCTTTTGCTTTTGTTTGATTTTTCTTCTGAAGTTGTAAATAAAAAGAAATGCTCTGGGCTGGGCGCGGTGGCTCACACCTGTAATCCCAGCACTTTGGGAGGCCGAGGTGGGCGGATCACGGGGTCAGGAGATCGAGACCATCCTGGCTAACACGGTGAAACCCCGTCTCTACTAAAAATACAAAAAAATTAGCCGGGCGTAGCGGCGGGCACCTGCAGTCCCAGCTACTCGGGAGGCTGAGGCAGGAGAATGGCGAGAACCCGGGAGGCGGAGCTTGCAGTGAGCCCAGATCGCGCCACTGGACTCCAACCTGGGCGACAGAGCGAGACTCCGTCTCAAAAGAAAAAAAAAAAAAAAAAGAAATGCTCTGAACACAGAGGATATAAGTCAAAAAGCAGCCCAAACCCTGAAATTCTTTATGCTTTGGTCTCTGTGTTTCTACTGCTGGTTGGGAGAAGAGAGGTGAACAGGAAGGCTAAACTCCTTAGGCTATATCAAACTAGCAGGTTCTAGATATCTGATTATACAAACACCACAGGAAATAATTTTCTAAAAAATAACATTTGAACCAAATGTTGTTAGAAATGCTTCCCTGAAATAGTTAAGTTCAAATATTTTTTTCTATGTGGAATAAAATTGAGCCTGTCCACATGTAAAGTAAAGTAAATTAAATTTAGCATAATTAAATTTATATGATATGAAATGTGTTTTACTGTTCTGTGTAGAATGATTTTGTCTGTGACAAACAATTGACAGCTCCTGGATATAGATTGTTTTTTAAATAATTTTTTTTGGTGAAAAAAGTGTTTAGACATTCAAAAGTCTAAAACACATTCCAAAATATTTTCTACAAGTAAGCCAGACTTTGTCAGTTAAAAGTGGTTTTATTTTCTTTATTTTGGCATACCTACAGAGCATGGGAGGAATTGCAGTAAAAAATCCTTGCCAAATAACACACTGCCATCCATCCATAGAGAGCAGATTTTTGGAATATCCCCACAGCATCCATAGAAGAAGTAATCTGAAACTGAGAAGAAAGCAAAAGTTAGTCCTTTGCTTTCCACAACTCATATCACCTCCCATAATCTTTAAGCATCCTTCAAATGGATCATTTTACAGGATACCAGGGCATTTGCCTGTGAACTATGGGGCTCTCTGTAATTAATGCACATTTTAAAACATAGTAAACTCGAATGCCTTGCTCCTTAAAGCGTGGTCCCGGGACTAGAGGTATCAACATTACCAGTTAACTTATTAGAAACAAAGTAACTCAGGTTTCCACCACCGTCAAAATGAATTAGAATCTTCATTTTTAAAGAGATCAGCATTAAAGTTTGAGAAATGGTGCTCTAATCTGTGCCTTATCTTTTATCAAGAAATAAGGAGTGTCACATAATTTAAAGAAGGTCTGATAAAGTTGTATGTGCACGTGGCTTTTAGAAACTTGCATTTATTGAGTGTTTACGATGCCCAGGTAATGTTGTAAGTGCTTTATAAACATTATCTCCATTAATAGTCCCTATATGCTTTCAGTTAAAATCTCTTGTCTTCATTTCACTAATGAAGTAATTAACACTTAAAAAGTTCAGATATTTTGCCAAAGACCATACAGCTAAAGAGAATGAGAAACAGGTTTCAACACTTTTTCTGGGCCTAGTTCTCAGAATACAGAGACTTAAACTGATAATTTGCCTGTTTTCTCCTTGTTTTCCAAATCTATAGTTTGGAAGACTACGTAAACTCCACAGGCCTTTCTAGCTGTGGAACCTATATAACCAGGTGAAAGCAGGGTCATCTTAGAAATGTCACAGCTTAGTAATGTTTTTTCTTCGCAGTAGGTTTATCTTTGCACAAGTAGAATGTTGATGTGAATTAAATTCTGACAAATGTAAATTTTCAGAAATGTTACTGACAATGTCAAGCTCTAGTTATCCTTCATATTAATCTGTGATTGAGATGACCTAGGCCATGGATAATAAACTATTAAAATTTGTTTTGTGTCTGAATTATTGTTCCACAATTAAATAAAAGCTGTAATTTAACACTAAAATTTTAAAGGGAATTAATTAGTCCGCAGTACACTAAATGGACTTTGCATGTATCATTAAGATTTGAACAGAAAATATTTGGAAAACAACTTTTCTTTCATTCTAAAAACTTAAAATCTTTCTACTTGTAAATATGATGATTAAACAATGCTTAATTATTAAAAACCTAGGACTATGGACTTTTGTTTGTTCTTCTTAGTTTTTCCATTTTGATGAGTACAACATATGTTTCATCACTATGTTTTGCCAAAGAGTGCAAAAATAAAATAGAAATATATTTGTCTTTCAAATGAGATACAAAGAACCCATGCAATTTAATTAAACATATTAAACAATCAAATCCTTTCACCAAATTTGCAAAATTCTATATTCTGGCTGACTTTGATACTGTGCCTGCTTCATAAACTAAGAACTTGAAGCAATGACATTATTTAAGACTTAATGGGGCTGGGTGCGGTGGCTCAGGCCTGTAATACTAGCACTTTGGGAGGCTGAGGCAGGTGGATCACTTGAGGTCAGGAGTTTGAGACCAGCCAGGCTAACATGGTGAAACCCCCTCTCTAGCAAGAATACAAAAAAATTAGCTGGGTACGGTGATGCAAGCCTGTATTCTCCGCTACTAAGGAGGCTGAGGCAAGAGAATCGCTTGAACCCAGGAGATGGAGGTTGCAGTGAGCCGAGGTTGCGCCACTGCACTCCAGTCTGGGTGACAGAGTGAGACTCTGTCTCAGAAAAAGAGAAAAAAAAAAAAAAAAGAACTTAACAGCAGTTACCCCTAGATATCATCTATATATGCTAATTTTTCACTAGGTAACATTTGTTTGGGTAAATAAAAAGGTGAGGTTAGCGAATCTATTCTAATCAACCAAGTGTAGAATACAAAACTAATATCTCTTATGCCATCAATGTGTTGGAATATATTACTTGCTTTCAGTATCAAATCTAAAGTGTGTAGAACATGCTCTAATTAAAAGCTGCTGAAGCTAAGGCACGTCAGTCATCGCACAGATTTTTTTTCTAATTTTATTGCTCTTACGTGTGTCTTCAAACATATTTTTATTCTTCTCAGAAATCACATACAGAAACACACAAGCATTTGTGATCTCATCTGCCTCGCTTAATTTTCTGCTGATAGCCACAGTTTTTGAAATGTGAAAAAAGAATAGTAGCTATTGATTACTGAGTACTTATATTTTTACAGATAAGATGTGTTTTAAAACACATACATTCTATTGATTTTCAAAATAATTATATAAATTCCATTTCGAATGGTGTTTTTTCCAAAGTCAGATATTAAGACCAGAGAGACTTTGAATCTTTTCAACCGTTTCATTGTAAAATTTTTGCAATATCTGCATTAACAAAATTTCAAACTGCCTTACCAATGATTTCAAGTATGTTGCTACTTTCGGTGTGATTTTACTGTAAATATACCGCAATAAGTCTCCTAAAACTTGTCATAAAGCCATATAGTAGGTATTTCTTTTATTTCTTAAATGCCAAGAGCCCGGCTATCATGGTTTCTTTCATCCCAAGAGTCTTTGGATGCCTAAGGATGTACTGAAACTGCAAAGTGTTTTCTGAAAGCAAGAGGAAACTCATACATAAACATGAAGGGGAAGGGACATAATAGAAAATAAGGAAATGATGTATTTTTGGTGTTTTTTAATAAATTTAGTACAGACTTAATGTAATTGACTTTTAGATAATTTCATTGTAAAACAAAGTGTATGAAGATAAGTTGATAAGTTGGCAAAAAACTTAAAAATAGTCTCAATATACCATCATTAATTCTGAAAAATTGGTTCTAACTCTCATTGTTCTATACCTCAGAGGCACAATCATAAAATCCTGAAATGCTTTAGTTCTACAGACTTAGGTTTAATTTTCATAATTTACAGATGTTGTGATTAAGAGACAGGGAAATAGATTATTTCTCAATGATAGTACTCCAATTAGAATCATGCTTTACTAAAACAGAATCACATGCCCTCTGTAACATTCTTCTGCTCCTTGTTAGTGGAAAATATTTGTGTTGGTTTTATAATAGGTAATAATTTGTGGAGCAGTTTGACCTATGTAGGATACCTCATAGTCACGGATTACAGGCAACACCAGCAACTCCACAGGTACACTAAAGTTTTACCAGATAAGCAGGTTTATTACTATCTCCTTTTATGATTACTAGTGTGAATTTGGTAAAACCAAATTAAATGTTGGGAGTATAGATTGTGACCATAGAATAAAATTGATCTCACTATATTCAGGCAAATTAAATCCATACGTTTCACTTCTTAAATTAAAATAAAAAATCTTCTAGACAGTAGTACTGTAAAAATCTTTTTTAATTAAAATAGAAATTAGATCATTTTATTAAATATTGATAAGTATATATAAAATGAGGTTTCTAACTTTTCTCAGTAGAAAATCTATCTAAGTGTTTAGTTTAAGTATAGAATATTACTAATCATATACATAAATGTACAGGATTTTGGTAAATTAATCTGATTATATATACCTACTTCTCCTCAGTGGGTAGGGATACCTTGAAACTTTTGTCTTTTGTTTGTTGTTATTTATTGTTTTATATCGAATTGTTTTCCCTCATTAATATGTTGTTTATTTCATGACGTATTGAAGTTTAGATAAGTGGAAGTAGGCAATACATATTCCTTTGTAAAATATTTTAACTCGGTACTTGAAGAGTGATGAGAGAATGCATACATCAAAGCAGCAAGCTATGAAGGGAAAACAAGGAGACCTTATTGACAAAAGTGACTTGCAGAATATTGGTAGACAATGCTTCTTGTGTCTCTTAGATTTCTGCATGTCTTGTTAACAAATCACTGGCTGTTCTTTCTTTTGGAATATCTTTTCAAAAATATTGCTATAAGCCAGGGGCAGTGGCTCATGCCTGTAATTCCAGCACTTTGGGAGACCAATGCAGGTTGATCACTTGGGCTCAGGAGTTTAATAAAATACCAGCCTGGGTAACATGGCAAAACCTTGTCTCTATACAAATACAAAAATTAGTACAGTGTGAGGATGCATGCCTGCAGTTCCAGCTACTAGGGAGGCTGAGTAGCTCACCTGAGCCCAGGAGGTCAAGGCTGCAGTGAGCTGAGAATGCTGCCACCGCACTCCAGCCTGGGTGACAGAGTGAAACCCTGTAAAAAAAAAGAAAAAAAGAAAAGTTGCTCGAGTGTACAACCTTGGAACATAATAAAAACATCTCTCTTTGGTGCAAAGGACAGGTTTTCATACTGGCTTGGAAAATAAAAATAGTGCCATTTTCCAAAGTAAAAGTGCAGCCATAGTCACTGTCCAGTTTAATCAAGATAACATCTCCATCTGGTGCGAAGTGTAGGGATGCTTACTGCCCATTAAAAAAAACATATCGGGTTTCATAAGCTCAGGGTTTCTCTCCCATAACATAATCTTTATGTGAGCAGGTATAATCTGGATCAATTCAAGCTACCCTGTGGAAATTAGGGTGTAAATCTGCTGACGTTCAGGATTCTACTACTGATTGGAGTAAAAATTCCTTTTTGTATGATTCAGGACCATGTATCAAAATTCATGAAATTGTAGCAGGTTAAAATTTAGCTTGCAAGGAAGGTAAAATCTTAGAGCCTTTACAGTTCTCGCCAAAGATAATCGGTGAGGTAAGATATACAGTCTCTGAGCCCTCATCATCCCAAGGAGCTATATTGAAGGGCTAATGTCTGTTTGGATACACAGTTTTAAACTGCAGGAGAAGTAGTATACCTTTGTTTTATTCCATGTTGCTTTTGCAGATGAAATGAAAAGGGCATCTGGGCTTAGGCAAAAGCAGCTAAGTAAAAATATCTGCCAATGAGAACAGCCCCGGCTCTAGGAAGACATGTAACAGTGTTGTCTCTGAAGTATCCAAGATATCAGGATTCTTTTCCTCTCCTTCACATTGCAATTTCAAAATGTATCTGTGTTCATTCGTTCTCACTACTGGACTGTAAGCTGTTTCACAATTAAATCACCTTTATTTATTCTCCTGTCAATTGAAATTTAGTTTTTAGTATTATTTAAAATTTCAAACATTAATTTAATGAATATTTTTGTACCTGTCAATTTGGGCACATGGGTGAGAATAGATCCAGAAATTAGTCTTATAAATAGAGCATTTTTTACTTGTAGAGTATATATATTTCATATTTATGAGACAAAGATTTTTTTCTAATTAAGACAAAATAAATCAGAAAATGAGAAAAACATTAACAAAGAATAAATGAGAAAAAGCCTAATGGTAGATATAAATTCAATCATATTGGTAATTATATTAAATGTTAAAGTGGGAGGTCACACTTTTGGATAATGGACCCCCAGAACTCTACTTCTCAACAAAAGCAATGAAAGTACTAAAAAAAATTAAAATCTACTATTTCAGAATTCTGAAAATTAACTCAAAGTCTGTAAGAATCTTTAAAAAAAATTCAAGAAAAACTATTGAACCTCAGTAAGAATGATGGGTCTTAAAACATTTAACTTGGCCTACCCTTATCCCCTCACCCTGTTTTATGGTAGTCTTGAAGACCAATAGATTCTGGTGAAAATTAGCAATCTTAACAGCCATTGGAGGAAACACACGGGTTTGGAGCTCCTTATAAAGCCCTGTTCCCAGCCATTGTTACTACATGATCTATTTTACAGTCCCTTGGAAAGCCCTATTTTCAAAATGTGACTTGACTCTCTATAGGAAAGGTCCTATCCTTGGACATTCGCTAAAAACAATCAGTTTCAATTGATTAACTGCCAAAAGCTGTGATACCAGTTGGAGCAAACAAAAACCTAGCCAAAGTTCAAAAGATGGGTCTAGGAATTAAATGTCCAGAGGGGGCTTTGTAAAACTCTAACATATTATTAGAGATATAGAAGAGAGGAGGCAGTGTGCATATATATTGCTATTTGCTTGTCCAGGAAAGATGTAAGATGCTTCAATTACCTCTGGCTGGCTGACTTTAGGCTCTGTGCAAGCAATAAGGGAAAGCTAAGGCAGATTTATAAACTGCCTGAGAAATGAAAGTATATCCTAACACACACACACGCACACACACACACACACACACACACACACACACACACACAACCTCTTGGCTAAGGTGGAGTATTTATTGGTACAAGGAATTTAAGGAAATGTATGACCATTCATTAGCTAACCCAACCAAGCAGATACTTCAGTGGTTGCATATGATAGATAACACAAGCATTACATAATCAGTCCAGGAATGGCACTCAGAAAACAAACAGCAGGCTGGGCATGGTGGCTCATGCCTCTATTCCTAGTACTTTGAGAGGCTGAGGCAGGCAGATCACCTGAGCTCAGGAGTTCAAGACCAGCCTGAGCAACACAAAGAAACACTGTCTCTACTAAAAATACACACAAAAATATTAGCCAGGCATGGTGACACACACCTGTAATGCCAACTACTTGGGAAGCTGAGGCACGAGAATCACTTGAACCTGGGAGGCAGAGGTTGCAGTGAGCCAAGATCACATCACTGCACTCCAGCCTGGGTGACAGAGCGAGACTTAAAAAAACAAAAACAAAACAAAGCAAAAAAGCACCAAACAAATAAACAAAAAACAAACAAACAAACAGCAATAACAACAACAACAAA
This sequence comes from Homo sapiens, assembly GCF_000001405.40. Taxonomy (NCBI): domain Eukaryota; kingdom Metazoa; phylum Chordata; class Mammalia; order Primates; family Hominidae; genus Homo; species Homo sapiens. The sequence continues at coordinate 103,844,982 of NC_000003.12, read as the reverse complement.
CCCAGGAAAGGGAAAGGAGAATTCAATTTCCAGATTTTCCACATTCCACATTAAATTATTATATTGTCCAGTTTTCAACGAAAAATGTTAAGGCATGCAAAGGAATAGGAAAGTTTAGATCATAGATGAGAAAATAAAAATAATTCAACGGAAACTGCCTTGAGGAGGGCCCAAAATGTTTCACGATGATGATGCTATAGATAGGTTCAAAGAACTAACAAATATATGCTGTCTACAAGAAACTCACTTTAAATTAAAAAAAAAAATGTTAAAGGTAAAAGGATGGTGAAAAATGTGCCAAGCAGACGGTAACAAAATATTAGCATAGCTAGAGTAGCAATACTAATATCAGACAAGAACAGACATTAAGGTGGTAATTATCACTGGAGACCAAGGGCATTACATAGTGGTGAAAAGGAAGAGTTCAGAAGTATAAGCATATGTGAATCCAACAACAGAGCCCCACAAAATATGAAGTTAAAACTGACAATTGAAAAGAAAAACAGGAAATTTAGCAATAAAAACTTGAATATTTCAATAATATATTCACAATAATTGATAAAATGACTAGACAGAAAATCAGCAAGTATTTCGAAAACTTGCACAGAACTATCAACCAACTTGACCTAAAAGACATCTACAAAACAGTGAGCACCAAAACAGAAAAGTATAGATTCATATAAAGTGTTCATGGAACATTCACCAAGATAGGCCATAATCTATGCCTTAGAACAAGTCCTAATAAATGTAAAAGAAGAAAAATCATAGAATATATGGTCTCTACCACAAAATGCTAAATTAAAAATTAACAATTGATTGAAATTTGGTAAGTTAATAAGCATTTGGAAATTAAGTACATTTTAAAATAATTAGTGTATCAAAAAAGAAATTACAAGAGAATTATAAAATAGTTTGAACTAAATGAAAATAAAATGTAACATATTAAAATTTCTAAGATACAGCCAAACAATGCTTACAAGAAAATTAGAAATGAAGAAAATATGAAATTAATTCTGTAAGCTTCTACCTTCAGGAAATCTAGCACAATTATGACACATAAGCTGATGGCAATTAGAAGAAAGGAACTAATACAGATTAGAACAGGAATAAACACATGCTTAAAATAGAATATAGCAAATTATAGGGAAAATCAATAAAACCAAAAGTTGGTTCTTTAAAAATATCTGACAACAATGACAAAGCTTTACCTGCACTCACCAAGAAAACAAAAATTACACCTGAAAGTGGACGCATTCCAACTGATTTCTTAGAAGCGAATAATTTGCAAGTGAATATTATGAAAAAATTTAGAATAATAAATTTTATAACTTACATGAATTAAATAAGATCTTGGAAATTCACAAATTATCAAAATTGATTTAATAAAAGGAAAATATGTATAGACCAATAACAAGTAACTAAGTGAACCAGTAATTTAAAAATTTTCCACATGGAAAACCACAGTATCAGATAGCTGTGGGGTATCTAAATTGTATAAAACATTTACAGAAAAAATAATAATTCCTCAAAAATACTTTCACGACATAAACAAAATAGGAAGATTTTTTAATCTTTTGATTCCAGTATTATTCTCATAGCAAAGCCAGTCAGACATAACAAGAATAGAAAAAAAAAAAACAGATCAATATCCCTCATAAACATAGATGCAAACATTTTCAACAAAATGTTGACAAATCAAATGCTATACCCTATAAAAAAGATTATACAACATGATCATGTGATATTTATCCTAGAAACATAAGGTTGGTTTATCATCAAAAAAATCAATTGACATAATGCACCATATTAACTGAATAAAGGAAAAATGCTACATTTTTATTTCAAAAGTTTCACAATTTGACCAAATTCAACAGCATTGATGATAAACATGCTACAAGGAAATTTCTTTAACCTGATAAAGAGCATCTGTGAAAAATCTACTTATTGGTTGAATAAGTAAATACTATCCCTCTAAGAACAAGAACATGTTAAAGAGAATCTTTACATTTTTTGTTTAACATGAATTTTAGCAAAAGCAATCAAGAAAAGAAAATCATACGAATTGAAAAAGAATAAAAAATCTGACTTAAGCAACAGATGAATTATCTCCATATGTAGAAAATCCTAAGGAATACAGACACATGCAAACAATTAGACCTAGTAAACAGAGCAGGGTCATAGAATACAAGTTCAATATAAAATATGAATTACATTTCTACACACTAGCAATGAACAACACAATGATGAAATTAGGAATACAAATTTTTATTCACAAAAATCATAAAAAATAATACAGTACTCAGGAGTAAATTGAACAAAATAAGGGTAATATTATTACACTGAAAATTGTAAAATGTTCTTGAAGGAAACACAATTGGAAGACTTTCAGTATCCAATTTTAAAACTTACAATAAAGGTACAGTTATCAAGACACTGTGGTGCTGGTATAATAATAGACATATAGATCAGTGGGATCAAATTGAGAGCCCACAAATACCCAATTGAGTTTTACAGAGACACCACAAAAATATGTTGGGGAAAAAGATGGTCTGTTGAATGAATGGTGCTAGGACCATTACATATTCGTGTTCAAAAACATTTTTAAAAAATGAAAAACAATCTTTGATGCTCTCCTCACACCATACACAAACATGACCTCAACAAATATGGAATGATTATTCTTGAGATCAGAAACAACAAATAGTCTCTCTCATCACTTCAACCCACTTTATATTGAAGGCCTTTGTGGGTACAAAATGGGAAATTATATTGACTTACATTTGGAATTTAAAATAATATTTTATTCCTGGAATAAATGTCACCTGGCTATAATGTATTATATATTTTTTTATTTATAGTGTTGGATTCAATTTGGTGAGAAATTTTCTTTTTTTTTGTCTTGTAATGTATTTAATTTTGACCTTAGGCTGGCATTGACCTTATAAAATGAGTTTATAAGTCTTCTTTCTTCCCCTATTTGCTGAAAGATTATGAAAAAGTGGTATGGTTTCTCCCTTAAGTAATTTGCAGGATTCACCACTGAAGGCATATAGGCAGGGAGGTTTCTTTGTTAGGAGGATGATAGTGGCAAATTCATTAATTTTACATTAATATAAAGCCAGTAAGGTTTTTCTAATTCTTTAGTTAGTGTTACAAATCTTTCTATTTCAAGAAACATATTTTTTTAAGTTATCAAATTTATTGACATAAAGTTGTTTTTAATATTCTCTTACTAGTCTTAATATCTGTGGTATCCAAAGTGTTGCTCCCTGTTTTATTTCTTATATTGTTAATTTGTGTTTCTTTTCTTTTTTTCATTCTGTCTAAAGGTATATTAATTTTATTTCTTTTCACAAAATCACCTTTGAAATGCATCTATTTACCCAGTTTTATTTAATTAACTTCTGCTTCTATTTTGATTGCTTAATTTCTTCAACTTACTTTGGTTTTAATATATCCTTTTTATACTTTCCTAATATCTAAGCTGAAGTCATGATTTTGTAGTTACAATTTTTTTGTGCCATGTACCATTAAAATACTTTACACACATGTGTTGGATGAAGTTCTCCAGAGAAACAGAACAAATAGGATGGATGGACGGATGGATAGACAGGTAGGTAGGTCGGTAGGTAGGTAGGTAGGTAGGTCGGTAGGTAGGTAGCTAGGTAGATAAATAGATGGATAGATAGATAGATAATTGATTGATAGTAGATAGATGAGATACATAGATAGATGATAGATGATAGATAGATAGATAGATAGATAAATAGACTAATGGATGGATAAATTTCTTGTGAGAATTGACTCACACGAGTATGGAGGCCAAGAAGTCTCATGATACGCTGTCTGTAAGCTGGAATACCAGAAATACTGATGGTGCAACTCAGTCTAAGGCAAAAGGCCTGAGAATAGGGGTAGGGGAGAATGTTTGGGGTGCAAGAGGTGGTTCTGGTGTAAGTCTTGGAGTTCTAAGGCCTTATGGTGGGAAAACTAGAAACTCCCATGTCCTAAGGTAGGAGGAGATGGATGTCCCAATTCAAGAAAACACAGACAATTTACCCTTCCTCTAGCTTTTTTTTTCTATTTTGTCCCTCAATGGATTAAATGATGCACTTTCACATTAGTGAGTGTAGATCTTCTTCACTCAGTCTACTGATACAAATGCCAATCTCTTCCAGAAACATCCTTGCAGACACACTCAATAGTAATAATATTTTACCAGTTGTCGTTAATTAACTCAGTTAAGTTGACACATAAAATTAACTATCACAGCATAGGGGAAATTTCTCCCAAATTATAGTACCAGGTAGCTTCTATTATTATCATGTTAACAGACAAGGATATGACACAGAGAACTTTAGTAACAACCAAAACCAGTTAACTAGAAAATGGTGAAGCTGGCTTGTGAAAACAAGAAATGTGACCCTGGAAACCATGCTCTTAATCACTATGCTGATGGCTTTCAAACATTTTAGTTTCAGGTCCTCCTTACAGTTTTTAAATTATGGCAGACCCAAAGACCTTTTGTTTTCCTAATATATATCACAATAGAAATTAAATTTGAGAAATTTTAAATTATATAATTTTAAGTAATTTAAAAGCAACAATAATATTTCTGTTACATGTTAACACAATAGTTGTTTTAAAACTCTATATTTTCCAAATAAAACATTAGTGACAGAGTGGTATTATTTTACATATTTAAAAATATTTTTAGTTTTTGGCTTGAGAGAAGATAACTGGATACTCATATTTGTTTCTACATTCAATCTGTTGTGATATGTTGTTTTGATTGAAGAGTAGTAAGAAAGTATATCCTCACAAAAAATATATAGTTGGAAAAGATAGTATTTTAATAACTTGGTCAGATAATTGTAAAAATTTTTACTTGACATTATAAAAAGTTGACAAGTATTATTTTCTGAAAGTTATTTGCAATGTAAAATCATATTTACAAAAAGTTTGTACTCTTTTATGTTGAATTTTATTGGTTTACCTTGCACACAAATGGATATTTTACTCATACATTGTTTATAATAACATCCATTGGTTATTTGAAAAATAGTGCTTTCCTTAATTACGCACTATATAATTAAAACAGAATAAAAATTTAAAAAAAAAAAAAAACTCCTGAAAGAGTAATGGGTATTCCCAAGGCTCCGTTAATTACATTTTGAGAACTACTAAACTGTGCTATATACTACATATTTATCTATACATGTATCTTTTGCATACGTGTTTCTATATGTGTAGTGCAAACGTATAGGAATAACCCAGAAACTAAGGACACTTGTTATTTTTTTCAGGGAAAGGTAGGGGAAAAATTGGCACATTAAGTATCAAGCCTGGAAGGGAAGTTTTCTCTATGCACTTTATATAATTTTTGGTATGTTTATTAGAATGTACCTGGCATATGTTAAAATCCCTTTATCGTTGTCGGATTTTTTTAACATTTTGATTCATTTAAAAAATATTTTTGTAAACAGAATAAAACTTCTTTTTGTTTTTAAATTTAAGATCTATACGTTCTCTTTTACCTGGGAGAATTGAACAAGTTTCCATTTATCAAGATCATATATACTTAAATTAAGTTTTAATTTAATTTTTTTAGTATTTTCCCCTTTCTCTGCTTTCTTCACACCCTTTCTTTCTTTCTTCCTTGTATAATTTGGCTACATTTGTTGTTCTTATCTTCCTTTACTGATTCAGAAATATGATCAGCTTTTATAGCGTACACATATAAAGAATACAAAATAAATCCATGGATCAACCGTTAAAGTACAGTCATTAATAAACAATTTGTTGAATGAAATTCAGTTAATTTAGAATCTGGTCATCTTCTAGAATTAAAAAGTAGGAAAATATTTGGGAGACAATGCATGCACAATTTACAACACCGTCTTCTTTCTATAATTTCTTTTGTTTGTGCATGCATTTTATCAAGAAAATAATATATGTAGACGTAAAAAATTAATACAAATACCAAAGTTATGTGCATTCTTTGCAGCTTGGTATTGATCTTCAACTTGGAATGTGGGTGTCTTATTTCAAGCAGAAGATGGAGTTAGGAAAGATTCTGCAGGTAGAAACTGTAGCAATCAAAACATGACCATTATTGCCTCTTAGGAAAAGAAAATACTGACCATGTCAACAGAACTTTTTGTTTCTGGCTCTTTTAAACAATGAAGAACGATTTCTTTGTACATTTTTAAACTTCTCTAACTATATTAAGGCACATATTAAAGTTGAAAAAAACTGGTGTAAACATATTATTTGTTTTTTTCTCCTTTGGCACCTCTTAAACATTACTAAAGACATATATATTTTTATATATTTTCATATTTAAGAAGTATTTTTGGTGATGTTTCCTTTAAGCATATGTGTTAACATTAAAACCATAACAATGAGAATAAAATAAGTCAACTTATAACTTTTTTAGTAATGAAAATACAAAAAAGTTTGACACTGATAGCAAAACAATAAATTCAGTTTTTTTTTTTTTTTTGTATGTTTTGTTTTCAGCTCAAGTCAATGTGAAAATTCTGTTAGCTTCTGTTAGCATCATGTTCAACAACTGTCAGTCCTTTGGTAAGTTGCTCGTGGAATGTCAAAACCAGACAGAGGAAATCCTACAAATGAACAATGAAATGAGCTAAGGACTACAACTGTAAGGACAAAAACAAACAAACAAGCAAAACAAAACAAAACAAAAAACAACTTGAGAAGTATACCTTGGACTCAAGCTAAATGACCTAATATAAATTAACTCAGCCTTTTATTCTGGGGCTTATTGGGAATGCAACTTGATGAATTCATACAGTGCAATTATTTAAAACATTGTTTTTCCACATTACAAAGGAAAATGTAGGTCTCTGTTCCTATTAAAGAAAAATGAATGTATACATTATGATATCATATGTCAAGAGAGGCATGGAAATAATATGGGATTATCTTTTCCAATTATGTGGCAGTACTTAGGTGGATATAAAAAGTGTCTCTTCTGGGGACATCTGAATGTTTTGTGGAAGGAAAATAAAAATCTTGGGACCCCGAACTCACTATGTCAAAGGGAAAAGTCAAGTATGGGAACTGAGTAGAGCAAACCTGCCTCCCATTTTGTTCCTAAATAGATGACTACAGAGATAAAAGACAACATACCTCCCTCACAATTAACTCACAGGGAAATCCCTTGTGGGCTCCATGATCTTTACTCAAAAACAGTTCTGTTGAATTTCACCCTTACAATGTAAATTAACAGCTTATCTTCACAGGTATAGGACAAAAGACAGAACTGGTAATGATTCCTTTCCACACCTAAGACAAATGCATATCTGACTGCTTCTTCTACTCTATGTTTATCTTATGTGAAAAACATATTTGCTGAGTGCGAGACAAATCCATAATGAGTATTCTACCCTGCCTTTGACATGTAAAATTTATATTCAGTGAGTGCTGATCAAAGATTCAAATGAATGCAACTCTTGCCCATTTTATATACCTTCCTATCTCTCTTTTTTTTTTTTCCTTCCTTTCTCCCCTGCTGCCTTCTCATTCCCATTTAAATATCGACATCCCAAAACCCTCTTTGGAAAAAGTAGGGTCACAGATGTTCCTGTGGTTTTGTGTTCCTTTTTCCCAGACACATCCTCAACCTTGGCAAAATAAATCTCAAAATTGATTGAGACCTTTCTCAGATACTTTTTGGCTTAAAGTTTTAATCACTCATATGGCAAATGAAACAACAAATTATTATAAAATATTTAAAAACACAAATGATATTAGATCCCTCAAAGGGACACATGCATTACGTTATGATACGTAAAATGTGAGGAGATTCTGAAAAATAACATACTTTTATAGGTGCAATGTTGATGATATAGCATTAAATGGGGGGTGAATGTTCATTATCCTTTGAAAATATTTGTACTTACTCAAACTGTATTTGTGTGTCTTGGCTGATTTTTTGGTTTCACTGTTGCTTGTTTTGTTTTAACCCTTTATTTCTCATCCATATTTGTTTTTTATTTTTAATTTTCATAGGTACATTATAGTTGTACATATTTATGAAGTACATGCGACATTTTGATACAATCATACAATGTGTAATGATAATTTCTTTGTATTGGTAATGTTTCAAAGCCAGTTCTTAATTATTTTGAAATATACAATAACTTATTTTTGACTATAGTTGCCCTATTGTGCTACTGAACACTAGATCTTCTTTCTTCTTCTAGCTGTATTTTTGTACCCATTAACCAATCAGTCTTTATCCTTTCCTTCGCACTACCTTCCCAGCCTCTGGTAACCATCAGTCTTTATGAGTGAGAACATGCAATATTTGTATTTCTGTGCCTAACTTATTTCACTTAAGGTCTTCCAGTTCCATCCATGTTGTTGTAAATGTAAAGTTTCTACTCTTTTTATGGCTGAATAATATTCCATCGTCTATACGCACTCTCTTTTCTTTATCCATTCATCTGTTGTTGGACAATTTGGTTGATTCTAGGCCTTTGCTATTGTGAATAGTGCTGCAAAAACATGGGAATGCAGATGCCTCTTTTATATGCTGTTTATTATTTTTAGATATGAATGTAGCAGTGAAATTGCTGCGTCATATGGTAGTTTTACTTTTAGATTTTTGGGGAACTTATATATTGTTTTCCATAGTGGCTCTACTAATTTATACACACCTCCATCAGTGTACATGCTTTCACCTTTATCCTCATCCTCTCTAGTGTTCATTATTATTCATCTTTCTTAATAATAGACATTTTAAGTGGGATGGGATGACAACTCACTGTAGTTTTCGTTTGCCTTTTACTGATTATTACTGATGTTGAGAATTCCTTCATATGCATGTTGGCTATTTGTATGTCTTCTTGTGAAAATATCTGTTCAGATATTTTCTCATTTTTTTTAACCAGAATATTTGTGGTTTTATTTTTGCTATTAGATTATTTGAGTTCCTTATATAGTCTGGTTATTAACTTTTTGTCAGTAGAATAGTTTGCAAATATGTTTTTCCCATTATATGGGTGTCTCTTCATTTTGTCAATTGTTTTCTCTGCTGTACAGAAGCTTTGAAGCTTCATATGATTTCATTTGTCCAATTTTGCTTTGTTTGCTTATGCTTTTGAGGTATTACTCAAGAAATCTTTGCTTGAACAAATGTCCTGGGTATTTTCTCCAATGTTTTCCTGTAGTAGTTTCATAGTTTCTGGTATTACATTTAATTCTTTAATCCATGCTCATTTGATATTTTTATGTGGTAAGAGATAGAGGTATAGTTTTACTCTTTTGCATACAGATATCCAGTTATCCCAGAACCATTTTTTGAAAAGACTATTCTTCAATTTATGTTTTCTGCACCTTTGTCAAAAATGAGTTGACTGAAATGCATGGATTTATTTCTGGGTTCAGTATTCAATTTTATTAGTCTGCGTGTCTGTTTTGATGCCAGTACCATGCTGTTTTGGTTACTATAAATTTGTAGTGTAATTTCAAGTCAGGTAATGTGATGCCTCCAGGTGTGTTCTTTTCATTGACGATTGCTTTGGCTATTTGTAACTCTTGGTTATTTGTATTTCTATATACATTTTAGGATTGCTATTTCTGTGTCTGTGAAGATAGTTCATTGGTATTTTGATAGGAATTGTATTGAAACTGTAGAATGTTTTGGGTAGTGTTGACATTTTATCAATATTGATACTTCTAAAATATAAATATGGAATATCGTTCCATTTTATTGCATTTTCTTTAATATTTTATTAGTGTTTTATAATTTTTATTGTAAAGATTTTTCACCTTCTTGGATAAATTTGTTACTAAGTGTCTCATTTTATTTTTTTAGCTGTTGTACGTAGGATCACTTTCTTAACTTCTTTTTCAGTTACTTTTTTATGGGTGTATAGAAACTATTAATTTTTCTATGTTGGTTTTGTGTTCTACAACTTTACTAAATTTGGTCTTCAATTGTAGGTGTTTTTTGCTGGTGTCTGTAGGTTTTTCTATATATATAAGATCATGTAATTTGCAAAGAAAGAAAATGTATCCTCCTTTTCAGTTTGAATGCCTTTTATTTCTTTCTCTGTCTAATTGCTCTGGGTAAGACTTCTAGTACTGTGTTGAAAAACGTGATGAAAGCAAGCATCCTTGCATTGTCTGAGGTCTTAGAGAAAAGGTTTTCATTTTTTTCACATTCGGTAAAATTCTATCTGTGGATTTGTCATATATGGCCTTTATCATGTTAGGTATGCTCTTCTATACCCAGTTTTTTTGTATCATGAAGGGATGTTGGATTTTATTGGATGCTTTTTCTGCATCTGTTCAAATGATCACTTTTTTTGGCCTTCATTCTTTTGATGTGATGTTTATTGATTTGCATATGTTGTGTACATTGCATATGTTTAACCATTCTTGCATCACTGGGAATAATTCCACTTGATCATGGTAAATGACCTTTTTAATATGTTGTTCAATTTCACGTTAGGATTTTGTTTGTGATTTTTGAATCTACACTCATCACAATATTGGCCTATAGGTTTTATTGTTATTGTGTCTTTGTCCGGTTTTGGTGTTTGGGTAATGCTGGCATTATAGAATAAGATTGTAAGTATTTCCTCTTCCTCACCTTTTTGAAATAGTTTGAGTAGGACTGACATTAGTTCTTTAAATTTTTGGTAAATTTCAGCAGTGAAACTCTCATGTCCTGGGCTTTTCTCTGATGGTAAACTCTTTTTTGCTTCTCTATCCTTACAAATACACACACACTCATGTCCTAACTCTCACAAATGACGATTCCATTATTCATAAGTATCAGAAACCCAATAGCCTATCTCTTAAACAAATTTGACATTATTTTCTCACCTAATAATAAAAACAGATAGTCATTCTAAGACTCCACTTATATCTTCATAGTTCATCAGTGGTTCATTTATATTAAATGAAAAAGTAAGAATGTTAAGAATTTATATAAAACCATTCCAAATGCCAGAAATTTTCAAGGATAATTAATATAGCATACCAAAGAGCAAGAAAAATGAGTATAAAGATTAATTTCAAAAAGTTGGACATTAATTATGAATTGTGCTTTTTAGGCTTATTTCATTGAAGACATTTAAAACAAATTTTTATAAGCTTTCAAAATTCTGAAGAAGTTTGCTTTTTAGATCAGTTTATAAATAATTGTAATTACAAAGGCAAAGAGAAACAATAATTATGAAGTTTTGTGTGTTAGTCTTTTTGTGTATTTGTGAATTTCAGATATATCTATATATCTATATATATCTTATATGTATCTATATGTAATTAATCTTCTCAACAAAACTTTAAACAGCTATTAGTATCTTGATTTTATCAATGAGAATACTGAATCTCAATGTTTAGTAATTCTCTCAAGTAAATAGGGTTGATTATTGGAATATTTATGTTATGTGTTCAGGACCACCTCACTCCAAATCTCTTTTGTAACATATGACTCACTCTAGCACACATTTTTTACAATGCAATGCATGTTCCAAGGGATATTTTTTGTTGCAGAATATAATTCTCTTTATATAATTTCCTGACATGGCTACCCATTGGACAGTCACATGCTTTAATAAGACCGTCTGCTGGTAAATGTGGCTGTAAGAAGTTGTCCAAAACATTTACACATAAGTTGTATCTTGGAATTTTAAAATTGTCTGTATATCTGTATCTCTTTTAGTTTAACTCAGCCATGACTAGTAATTTAGCAGATATTTATTTTATGCCACCTGTTGGCCTATTGGCACTTCAGATTGAAGAGTTATTTTTTTTTCTATTTTTCCTTATACAGCAGCTAATTCAATCTCATCAATCAATCAATCTATCGCTCTATCATTTGCTTATCTATCTATATGTGTGTGTGTGTATTATATATGTGTGTTTCTCAGGTGTTTTCCTCTACATATTCTAGTATTTCATTCTAATTTTCTGAAGATGCACCCTTCAGTAACATAAATAATTCTCTAATTTTATATTCTTATGTTTAGCACAGTTAATCACTTGATTTTAATAAAGTACTATGCCAGATCTCTTAATATGTTTCTTTTGTTTCTATTGTATCAATTAAATGTTTTTAGCATAATTATATATTTCAGCAATGAAACTTTTCTTTAAAACACATTTTGTCATGGGCAATGGCCTCAGCTCGGTAAATTCAAAATTAACATATATGTCTATATATTTAATATTTTAATAAAAATAACTTCCTAATAAAAAACCCCTAAATTCCCCAGTCAAATTTTAGATATGTAGTTAAATAAGAGAACTATCCACTTAAATTCTTCATTTAATAATTTTATCATATGCTTAAACATATACATCATATCTATATATAACTTTTAAATTATCATATATTATTTATATGTGATAAAATTAAAATTTCTAATTTTTAACATCTTCTTTCTGACAATTTCCACTAGAACACCATTAGATAGTTGGGCTTCTTTTTTTTTTGCTCGTGTGGTTTTACATTATGTTTTATTTGCATATTCATAATTATCATATTGTAGTAGAGAATTTTACTTGTTTCAAGTGATTTAAAATGTTTAATTGCAATTATAATAAGTACCTGCAATTGTGAGATTGAAAATCTGAAATTAATTACATCTATGTTGTTTGTTTGCTCCCGTCCTTTTATTTAACAAAATTTTAAACAAGGATCTTCTTTAAGCAATTTAAAACTGGTTGAAAACATTTCTGATTATTGTTTCCTCCCTGACCAGTATTTAGCATTCAAAATATAGTATCATATTTTATCAATTTTAAGACAATCATTTATATATATATATATATATATATATATATATATATATATGTATATTTTATTTTTAAATTTTACTTTAAGTTCTGAGATACATGTACAGAACATGCAGGTTTTTTACATAGGTATACATGTGTCAGGGTGGTTTGTTGCACCTATCAACCCGTCATCTAGATTTTAAGTCCTGCCTGCATTAAGTATTTGTCCTAATGCTCTCCCTCCCCTTGCCCCACACCTCCTGACAGGCCCCAGTATGTGATGTTCCCCTCCCTGTGTCCATGTGTTCTCATTGTTCAACTACCACTTATGCGTAAGAGAATGCAGTGTTTGGTGTACTATTCCTGTGTTAGTTTGCTGAGATGGCTTCTGGGGTCATCCATGACCCTGCAAAGGACATGAACTCATTCTTTTTTATGGCTGCATGGTAGTCCATGATATATATGAGCCACATTTTCTTTATCCAGTCTAACATTGTTGGGCATTTGGGTTTGTTCTAAGTCTTTGCTATTGTAAATAATGCTGCAATAAACATACATGTGCATATGTCTTTATAGTAGAGTGATTTATAATCCTTTGGGTATATACCCAGTAATGGGATTGCTGCATCAAATGGTATTTCTGGTTCTAGGTCCTTTAGAAATCAACACACTGTTTTCCACAATGGTTGAACTAATTTACATTCCCACTAACAGTGTAAAAGCGTTCCTATTTCTCCACAGCCTCTCCAGCCCCATCAAAAAGTGGGCAAAGGATATGAACATACACTTCTCAAAAGAAGATATTTATGTGGCCAAATAACATATTTTTGTATTTTAACATTCTTTGATTGGGGAGTCTCATATTCAATACATGCCATAGCTTAATTGCAACACTTTTTTCCCTTTCTTATTAGTGTGTAAGCTAATGGTGTCTTTTTAAACAAATGATGTTTTAAATTTAATGAATTAGAAAAATGATTAATTTGTAAGAACCCATATATATATAATGACTCTCTCTTTTCTGAAGGACAATTGTATATACTCAGTCCATATATTTTGGAAAAGATGGCCCATGATTTCTGACATCAAAATTTTCTTGATGGAGAATAACTACATTGTATGTGTTGATGTTTATAATGAAGCGTAAAGGAAGCTGTCCTGGAGCCCAGTGAAGGGCTGGCGAGAGGGTGTTTAACAATAGAGTTAGGGAAGGCTTTATAGCATACATGATTGATTAGACAGCAAATGTGGGTAATAAAATTTAACTAAAAGAGAAAACCTGCAAATAAATATGTACCCTAAAAAGACAATCACATGATCCAGATATGTAATGATTCTGACTGGATTACAGAATGTGGGAGAAAATTATGAGAATAATTTGAAAAATTATACAGTGGTATGTTAATAAAACTTGGAGACCTTGATAAAGAGATTAGACTTTGTCCTATAGGTAACAGAACACCATTGAAAGGCTGTTATTATCCACTAGGTGTTTTAGAATGATCACTGTGTTGGCAGTGTGCAGATCGAGAAGAGACTGGAAGCAGGGAAATAATACAGATTAATAATCATAGGGCCTTGAGATAGAAGTAGGGTATAAAAAGAGGAGTGTCTGTATTTAAAGATACCTGAAGGATACATCTGGCATTTTTTGTGGTAGTCTAGATGAAGGAGAAATTGAGTATAAGAATTCACGATCTGGGAGACATGAACAAAGTTATTAGGCAAAAGAATACTTTTGGTGAGAATGTGGGTGTTGTGTGAGGTGTGAAGATGTCCACTAGACAGATATATTAATTTTAGGGTTAGCCTCATAAAAATAATCATTAGAAATATAGAGGATTGCAGGTTATAAATAATACCATGTGTCTCTTAAGCTTAAATTGTGCTTAAAATGGTTGTTTCCAGACTGTTTCTATTTCTGAGGAGAATTAAATAACATGGGATCATGCTAAGTGTTGCTTGGTTGATGGTGGTTGTGGGAGGTAGCAAAACTACACACCTCACCTGAGTTCAGCAAGACTGCTCTGCTTATAATTATTTGCCTATGTGCCTTGGTATGTCTTACTGGAAAAAGAAGGTGTGAGAGAGAGTAAAAAAGAACAGAAAGGAGGAGCAGGAGAAGAAAGAGAAGGAGAAGAAGAAGGAGGAAGGGAGGGAGGGAGGGTGAGGGAAGGGGAAGGGAGGGGAAGGGAGGGGAAGGGAGGGGAAGGGAGGGGAAGGGAAGGGTGTGTACTCATGCTTGAGGATTTTGATTTTTTTTAATTTTTTATATTTATTTTTCTAGCTTTATTAAGGTATAATTGACAAATAAGATTACATAAATTTAAGGTGTACAATGTGCATTTTTATACTAATTTATTTGTGCACCACTATGCTATCTGGTAAAAGTGTTCTGCAGGCTAGTTTTTTATTCTACTCAATGATTATTAAATTCCCTGAGATAAAATTAAATTCAGCATTCTGTTTTCTAGGTTATATATTAAGAATCCTTATTATAATTCTTCTCACTTAAATCCTAACTTATTCCAATTTTCTGAGCCAGATAAATGTCTCTTGTTCATTCTACCCCATGTTGCCTATTTCTAGGTCAATTCTTCCTTCTAAATACAGATAATATACCAAAACACAATAGAGGAGCTATGGTTAAAATCGTTCAGTCTGAAGCCAAATCTCTCTGAGTTTGCATTTTTACAGTTCCACTCAATATGACCTTTAAAAAATACATCTCTCTGGGGTTTTTTGGTAAAAAAAAAGATGACTGCATCTAATATGTATGATTAATGTGAGGATTAAATGAATATTATATATATCGCATTTAAGCATTCTCTGGGCCGGGCGCGGTGGCTCACGCCTGTAATCCCAGCACTTTGGGAGGCCGAGGCGGGCGGATCACGAGGTCAGGAGATCGAGACCATCCCGGCTAAAACGGTGAAACCCCGTCTCTACTAAAAATACAAAAAATTAGCCGGGCGTGGTGGCGGGCGCCTGTAGTCCCAGCTACTTGGGAGGCTGAGGCAGGAGAATGGCGTGAACCCGGGAGGCGGAGCTTGCAGTGAGCCGAGATCCCGCCACTGCACTCCAGCCTGGGCGACAGAGCGAGACTCCGTCTCAAAAAAAAAAAAAAAAAAAAAAAAAAAAGCATTCTCAGTTACATTTTTGGGGTGGTAGAAAAGATATTGGAATTGTTGTTTTCTTCCCACTTGCCAAATTTTCTTTTCTTTTTGGAAGATGTATTAAAGCTTTCAATTAACTTTAATTGACATATTTATTTAAAATTCAACAAATTAGGGTATACTGTCTAAGTACTGCCAAACACTAAGTATTCAGGATACAGTAGAAAATAAATGAACAGAAGAGTACTTAAACTTTCTGACTTCTTAAACTTTCTATTTTAAGAAAAATATTGGAAGAAAATATACAAAGTTGAAAATATACAGTATATTAGAGAGTGACAAGTAATATAGAAATAAATAAATAAGGGAAAATACAGGAACAGTGGTGCATTGGTCAAGAAAAGCTGTTTTGTTTTGTTGCATTTTACCAGACTCAATTTTTAGCAGTTTTAGGTTCACAGCAAAACTGAACAGTAGGTACAGAGATTTTATATATACCCCTTGCCCTACATGTGCTTAACCTCCCCCATTATAAACATCCACCTGGAGAGTGGTACTTTCTTACAATTGATTAGCCAGTACTTATTTATCACCCTAATTCCATAGTGTACATTAGAATTGGCTCTTGGTGTTGTACATTCTATGAATGTGAGAAAATATATAATAGCATGCATTTACCATTATAGTCTCATATATAATTTTCAAATATTTTGGATGTATACCAAGGAACACAATTACTGAACTTTATGGTAATAATGTATTTAGTTTTGTAAGACTGCCAAAATGTCTTTCATGGTGTGCAATTTTAATTTTGCATTACCATTCAATGAACAAGAGTTTCTGTTGCTCCATTTCCTCACCAGCATTTGGTGTTGTCAGTGTGCTGGACTTTGGCCTTTCTAATGGATGTGTAATGGTATCTCATTGTTGCTTTAATTTGCATTTTTCGGATGACATATGGAGCATCTTCTTCTGTGCTTGTTTGCTATCTGTATATCTTCTTTGGTAATGTATCTGTTAAGATCTTGGAATAGTTTTTGATAAGGTTGTTTTCTCATTATTGAGTTTTGAGTGTTCTTTGTATATTTTGGATATAGTCCTTTATCATATATATCTTTTGCAAATGTTTTCTTTCAGTCTGTAACCTATGTTTTAATTCTCTCAACAGTGTATTTCATGAAGCAGACTTTAAAAAAATTTATGAAATTTTTTAATATATTATTATTAATATATTATTTATTTCAGTGATCATGCCTTTGGTTTTGTAATTAGAAAGTCATCAACACACCAAAGATCATGGAGATTTTTTCTGATGTTATCTTCTAGTTTTATAGTTTTTCTTTTTACATTTAGGTCTGTCTGTGATCCATTTTGAGTTAATTTTTGTCAAGAGTATGAGATTTGTGTCTAGATTGAATTACCTTTTCTCTATTGTATTGCCTTTGTTCCTTTGTCAAATATCAATTGATTATATTTGTATTGGTCTATTTTTGGACTCCTTAATCTGTTCTTTTGTTATATTTATCTCTTCTTTTGCCAGTGTCACACTGTCTTGATGACTGTAGCTTTATAATCAATCTCAAAGCTGACTACTGTCAGTCCTTCAATTTTGTTCTTCCCTAAGCACTGTGTTAGCTATTCTGCATTATTTACATATCCATATAAATTTTAAAATAGTTTGATAGTATCCACAAAACAACTTACTGGGATTTGATTGTATTGCATTGAAACTATAGATCAAGCTGAGAAAAACTGGCATCTTGATAATATTGACTCTTGACAAAACCTAACTTCTTGATAATAGGAGAAAAAATGGCGTCTTGATAATATTGACTCTTTCTAGCCAGGAACATGAAATATCTTTATATTTTGTTCTTTAATTACTTTTATCAGAGCATTGTAGTCTTCATCACATAGAGATTGTGCATATCTTTGTTAGACTTATACCTAAGTATTTCAATTTTGGAATGCTAATGTAAATGATGTTGTGGTTTAACTTTGAATTTCACTTGTTTATTTCTGGTATATAGAAAAGTGATTGACTTTTGTACATTACCTCTGTATCCTGCAACATTGCTATACCTGCTTATTATTTCCAGGAGTTTTCTTGACATTTTTTTGGAATTTTCTATCTTGATTATCATGTCATCTGTGAACAAAGACATTTTATTTCTTCCTTCCAAATCTGAATATGTTTTATTTGATTTTCTTGTCTTATCGTGTTAGCCAGTATTCCTGTATGATGTTGAAAAGCATTGGTTATTGGGGATATCTTTGCTTTTTCCTTGATCTTAGCATGAAAGCTTTAAGTATCTCACTGTTACTTATGATGTTAACTGTAGGTTTCTGTTGAAATTGTTTAGCAAGTTGTGAAACTGCCCTCTTTCTAGTTAATTTAGTTTTTATCATAAATGGGTATTGGATTTTGTGAAATGCTTTTCTTATATTAGTATTATTTTGTGACTTTTATTTTTTAACCTATTAATGTAATAGATTACAATAATTCATCCTTGATTAGGGAACCAGATTTTCATACCTGGAACAAATCCCACTTGGTTGTTGTATATACTTCTTTTCATACTTTGTATGATTCTATTTGTTAATATTTTGTTGAGAAGTGTCACATCTGTGTTCATGAGAGATATTGGTCTGTAGCCTTCTTTTCTTGTAATGTATTTTTCTGGTTTTGTTTTTAAGGTAATGCTGGCTTCATAAATTGAGTTAGGAAATATTCTCTCTGCTTCTGTCCTCTGGAAAAAAATACAGTGACTTGGTATAATTTCTTACTTAAATGTTTGGTAGAATTTATGAGTGAATCCATCTGAGCCTAAAACTTTCTGTTGAAAGGTTATTAATCACTGAGTCAATATCTTTACTAAAGGTAGGTCTAGTATAATTGTCCATATTTTCTTGTATGAATTTTGGCAGACTGTTTTTTAAGAAATGTATACATTTTACCTTGATTATTAAATGCGTGGACATAGAGTTGTTTATAGTGTTTCTTAACTAGTTTTTTAATGTCTGTGGGATCAGTAGTGAAGTGTTACATCTTTATTTCTAACATTAGTAGTTTGTGCTCTCTCTCACTTTTTTACAATTAGGTTGGTTGGCTATCAGGTAATTAATTTTATTGTGGAACACTTTTTAAATAAAGTGGTCAAAACAATTTAAATAAGAAATTGGCATCTGAAAACAACAAACAACAAAATGTTGATGTAGGAGTAAAGGAGTGAGTCATTTGTGTATCTGGGGCAAATGTGGAAAGCAGAGAAAACAAGAAGAAATCTTTGGAGTTTGATGTATGGTTGGTGTATTCCAGGAATAGGAATGATGCCAAAGCATCTGGAATGGAGTGAGCATGAACTAAGGAGACAGTGGAAGAAATCAGTGAGATTATGGGATAGTGTTGAGAAATAATAGAGCATTATATGGAAACATAAATATTGGGATATTTATTTCAAATGATATTACAATTCATTGGAGATTTTCAAGCCTTTACATAATCACTCTAACTTTTGATTAAAATGGAGAGAACAATACTAAAGACATTTAGTCAGAATTCATTTTGCAATTGTCTAAGTGAGATGTATAAATGAAATATATATAAAGTTCATCCAATAGGAAAAGCATGAGAGTAGTACAAAAATAATAACTAATGTTACTGAGTACTTCACTATGTATTATGATCTGTCCTGTGTTTGAGATGCATTTGCTCAGTTAACCTGCACAATAACCTTTTTAATGGAAGTACTGTGTAATAATTATATAGCAAATAACTTTCTGTATATTGTGCTAGTCAATGTCCAAAACCTGGCTAGGCACAGTAGCTCATGCCTGTGGTCCCAGCACTTTGGGTGGCCAAGGCAGGCGGATCACCCGAGGTCAGGAGTTCAAGACCAGCCTGGCTAACATGGTGAAACCCTGTCTCTACTAAAAATACAAAAATTAGCCAGGCGTGGTGGCAGGCGCCTGTAGTCCTAGTTACTCGGGAGGCAGAGGCAAGAGAATCGCTTGAACCCAGGAGGTGGCGGTTGCAGTGAGCCGAGATAGCCTATTGCACTCCAGCCTGGGGGACAAGGCGAGACTTCGTCTCAAAAAAAAAAAAAAAAAAAGTCCAAAACCTAAAAATAAAATAAAATAAAATAGAACAGAGACTAATTCCCAAGTAATCTGACTCTAGAACCTACACGCATAAGCATAGATATATGCTTCAGAAAGCATTGATTGCTTCCTGAGTAGAATTAATGAATGAAGAAGAATGAAGTGAATCTTCATCTTTCTGACTGGGAAGCATAGGAGGCTTTTCAACATTTCACGAATCAAATAGTATAATTATGAAAGTAATCTTCAGAAACATTAAACTCAGAAATATTTGATTGAAATTCCCTCTGGGTAACGATGCTCTAAGATCACAAAAGGAAAATTGGCAGATGTTGTCTTAAGACCAAACTTTCATAGTCATCTGAGAGTTAATGCCACTTCATAGTTTTACTAGGCTCACCCACTTTTGGGGAAGCATTCTAATTAGTAGACATAGGCAATATTTAAGGGCTGCAATGATACTCTGTCTCATCTATCACAAGTAGAAGGACTTTATGAATGTTAGTGAAATCATAATTTATAAAAGGATTTTATAAAAGACAGTACTAATCTGTAATGTAATCCCAACTATTTTGCTGTTTGAAAGATTTTTAAATAAAGATAATTGGTGTAGTGTTTTTATAGCCTTTTGAGAGTTAACATTAACTGTAGAATTACTGAGCTACAGATATCTGTCTGCATGATTTTGTGAGAGAACATAGGAGGCACTAAGAAGTTGGGCCAAGAGATTATTTAACAGTGTCAGCTAGCACCCGCTCAGAGTTTCTGGCTGAGTATTCCTGCATTTATTTTCAGAGATTTCAATAAAAGGAGCTGTCCAAGCCTAGAATAATTCATTGTGAACTCTTGGGTGATATGTAAAACAGAGAAGTTCCAATTTGGCAGAAGAAATAGCAACACAAGTAATCTTGTGACCCCAATTTCTCATTTCAAATTCATGAGAAATATGTATAGATAATTTTATTTTTTATTTTAACATTATACTGCAGATGAAAGTATGAACTTTTAAAAAAGGTAAAACAACTCTATTGTATTCATTTCTATAATCTATAACATTTTTCAAACAAGTAATTCAGGGTGATCTTCTTGAAACACTTCCTCATACTCTTATTATGTCCTGTGCCTACAACCTATTCTGTTAGAACCTGCTTAAGTAAAGACAGATGGTCAAATAACTTTTGAAAACTCAACAGTTTCTTAATATAGCTCCAGCCAGAAACATTGACCTGAATACTGTCTTCCTTTTTAACTGAGAAGTTAAAAGTTATTTCAGTGACACATTTTTTTCCCTTTAATTATACTTATACTTAATTAAATCTACATAATTCAGCTGATTTCCATCATTAGAAAGTATTGTTATGAGCATTCAGAGAATAAATAGATTTGATTCTATCAAAAATGAAAGAGCAAAAGATGAGAGTTGCTGATTCTTTCAATTAAAATATAACTTCTATTTGGTTAAAAAAAAAGGCTCCAAAATATACTTATGTCCTTGCTTTTCCTCAGATTGTGCTCAAATAACTAGCAGTTGGCTAACTTCAGAGTTTACCTCACATGGTAGTTTTCTCCTTCTCTCTCACTATTTTCTTTATTTTTTCTTTCCTTTTTTTTTTTCTCTCTTGGTCTAACAGCCTCTACATGCCCAAAACATTTCTCTCTGGCTTCCCAGAAATTTTTCTGTGACATGTATTATTCCCCATCCTGAACTCAAACCAATCATTTTACAGCTGGAGTCTTTTGTTCCTGATCTTTTTATTCTTTCCATATCTCAACTGTCATCAATTCAATACAGGAACTCATTTGTCCTGGTATACTACTACTGCATAGGAGTTGTTCTCTAATTGAGTATTTTGGGCTTCTGGGAATATTTGAATATATTTTCAAGGGTTTGTGAATTGTCTATAAGAACTTTTATAAAACTTCTTATTTTTATCCCCATAAACATCAATGGTATGCATGTAGTAATCATTATTGGAATAAACATAAAATCATTAAATATCTTCATGAATTATTCAGTTGAGGATTACCATCACTTTTGCAGTATATGTAGACCAAAG
Source organism: Homo sapiens (assembly GCF_000001405.40). Lineage (NCBI taxonomy): Eukaryota > Metazoa > Chordata > Mammalia > Primates > Hominidae > Homo > Homo sapiens. The sequence continues at coordinate 103,822,943 of NC_000003.12, read as the reverse complement.
AGGTTCTTTGCAATTATAGTTAGTTCAATTGTTCAAATAGAAAAAAATACTGGAAAAATTAAGCCGTCATATTGTGCCTAAAAGAGGTATATCAAATTCAAGGAAATCTATTCTATCATCATCACTACTACGTTCACACTACTAGCAAAATAATATGTTGATCATATTGTTTTTAGATCCTAACTTGTGAAAGTACATTGACAATAAATATTTCAGTCAATGTAAAATGAATAAATGTTACGGCCATGACACTAGCCATAATTGGATTAGATCAGCACTTAATGTAAATTTCAGTAAAGCAATATAGCTAAATTTATCTTAGGGCGAGTGAGACAGTTTTTAGAGACAGCTTGTTAAAGTTAGCCATTGATAGCTGCTCATGGGAAAAGTATATTGCAATTATTTGAAACTAGCAAACATATTTTAAGTTATTAATAATGATCTGTACAGTATATCTATGTTAGTAGGCACTTTCTGCCTTAATTTTACTAAAGTCAACATAAAGAATCACAATTAATCTAAACCTGAACTTGATACTACTATTTTTTTTAACTTCAACAATGGTGAACTGCTTTAGGGGAGAAAAATATATCTACTACAAGAAATACGGCGCGTTAATTGAATTTAGTTGGTTTTGCCAAATTATTTATATTTAATTTGAAATTTGCTTCACAGTTATTTAAAATTATACTAAGAAGTGCTTTGTGTCTATTGTTATGTTCATTCATTTTAAAATAACATTAAAATAAATATAACACACATTGGTACAGAATCCAGTAAAAATCATTACATTAAATTACACTTGGATATCACGTAAATTTCAGGGACACTGCCTCATAGCTTTTAATTACCAGAATTGCTAATCTTTGAGATAGCTAAATGTCTCAGTAAGTACAATTAACTTTTCTTTTATACCTTTCCATAAGTATTAGCATTTAAACAATAAGCAGTACATTTACAAGTGAAAATTTCTAGACTCCACCTAGTCAGCTAAGAAATTCCTTTTGCAAAGCTAATGAACACAAACAAATTACTTTTTAATCATTACTTTAAAATTATAGAATCTCAGCCAGCCATTATCTATTTTCTTCCTAGTTAGGCCAGTCATAAAACTGGCCTAACCTCCCCAAAATGTCACATTTTGATTCACTGAAGTCCAACAATTTATAAAAGTAAATCATTCAATATTGTTTTGATCATGCTGATTATTTTGTCTTCTCTATTTTTCATAGCAGTGATCATTTTTCTTCACAACATTAGGTACTGGGAGAAATAGAAACTAATCAAGTTTAATGTTATTAATAGAAAATTTTATTTTTTATTTTTCTTAATATCTTAGGTTTTAATCATATATTTTTAAATGGCTATATTTGTATGGAATAGTATACATATAGTATAGATTTGTATAATCTTTGGCATTCAAGAGGCATCTCATCTTTCTGTGGATATCTGCTTTTACTTACATGGGAATGTGTAGGTATAACCATAAATAAGATTTTAAATGTACTTTAACAGATTTAAATATTTATTATCATCATGGATTGTTGGCATATCAAGAAATAATGAATGATGCATGCAATATTTATTCAATTTTACAAGAACATCTGTCAGGATTAAATTGAAATAGTAATTATATCATAAGATAACTGAATAACAAGCACACAATTGAAAAACTAAAAGCAAAATGAAATGAGTAAGATGTTAAGTTCATAAAACATGATGGAACTGATGTTAGCATCAAAAAGACTGGCTGTTGATAGCAATATAGATGATTTGATGTAAATTCATGTGAACTCTATGTATCCTTCCTATTATCCCCAAGTGGAATAAGAACAAATCAGGGAGGCTGAGCACCATGCCTCATGCCTATAATCCCAGCACTTTGGAAGGCCGAGGCAGGAGGATCACTTGAGCTATGGAGTTCGAGACCAACCTGGGCAATATAGCGAGTCCTCAGGGCTTGGTGGTGTGTAGGTGTAGTTCCAACTACTCACGAGACTGAGGCAGGAAGATTGCTTGAGCCTGGAGGCTCACTTCAGCCTGGGAGATCAATGCTTCCATAATCTGTGATTGCACTATTGCACTGCAGCCTGAGCGGCAGACTGAGACTCTGTCTAAAACAAAACAAAAACAAATTCAAGGAGCGTATGTTACCCCAAGGAAAATTCATCATAGGGCAGGAGAAGATGTAAATATGTCCTCATAGAAAGAAGGTGTTTAACTGGTTTTAAAATGGTGAAACAGGAAAATGAGTGTATGCTCAGCAAATAATAATGATCTGTGAAACCGTTTCCAAGATTTGATCTTCAGTAAAAAATTGTCTAGAATTAAAATCGAGGCTAAGTTATCAAATGAATTTCATGTTATGTTGTTGTTGGTGGTGATGGTGTTATGGGACAACTTATTTCAAATTTTGATATTTTTGAAAAGATTAAAATTTTTATAGAGTTTCCTTATTAATTTATTTACTTATTGTTAAAGATATTTTCTAAGCCATTAGAGTGAGAAGGAGTTTAAACTTTATATACAATTCTAAACCTTACTTGATTTGCAATCATGAAAAACTGTAAAATCCAAATGCTCACAGGCAACCCTGTGTCTAACACTAAAATAACAGTCTCTTGAGAATGGAGGTATTTATGTTTATGTGTGTCTTAGTGCAACTCTGAGAACAGTATTGTACAATGTATGTGGCATTGTTCAGTGAGTTTACTTTTTCCGAAGAGAAAAGACCATTTCTTCTCTTAGTAGAAACACTCGAGATTTAGACACATGAAAATGAAAAATGGAAAACAATAAATGTAAATAAAGCATTACTGTAGCCTTTTTCTTATTGCTTTCCCACCATTTTTGCAGTCACAGGCTGATGACAAATGGTTGTTTCACTGTGACAATGAAGAGTAGAATTGTTTTCTTTTTTTAAAATCGGGCCTCTAGAGAGTAAATTTTTAAAAGTCACAAGTCAAAGGAGAGTCTGGAAAAAAAAAAGTGCACATTGTTGTCTTGATATAATAAAGATGTCTAAAGTAGTTTCCTGTTCAGAGGATTTTTCAGCACAATGTGTTTTTAGAAAGTTACTATGTTTAAGTAAGGTAACGTATTTTTTTTTAATGTCAGGAAAAATTGCCAATGACTTGAAAATGGGCAAAATGAAATCCTGTTTTCTTTTGAGTGCAGGCTTGCTTTGTTCAGTGAATTGTCTGGAGATTATTTGATTCCATAGAGGTGTGCCACTTTGCCTTTGACTAGCAATTTAACAGCTCTAGAGGTAGAAGATAACTTGTAAAATACACTGATGCTGACAACAATTAGAATTATTCATGTTTTTGGCGACGTGAATGAATTGTATGCCATAGAGAATACAAATTTCTGTAATTAAACTCTCATTTGAACTGATTTTCATGTCTATTGGTTCATTCATTAATTAGTTGACCAAATATTTGACAAGTGTTCATTTTATATTTGTATGTGAGTCATAAGTTTATCTCTTTTGAAAATTATACTTTAGTACTAATATTAAATGAATTAAGGACTGGAAGAACCGGCAGTGAAGAGAGAAAGTTAGTCTTAATGCATGCTCAGATGCATCATACTGTTTTAGGCTTCTTGCTCCTCCCTTCTATCTGTGCAAAGCACTGAATGCAATTTTGTTTTCATTTAATTTAAATAAGCCAGGCTTTTTAAATTTTAGAATGCAGGCACTTTCCCCTCTAGAGTGATTGAGTTCACTTTGCAGAGATTTAGAACTATTTATTTAGATGCATATAGGATTGGAGAAATGAATAGGGAGGAAGTGCCAAAAACTTGGAAGGAAATGAGAGAAAGAACGACTTCCTTGGGACAGAATCTTGGTAGAGCTCTCTCCAGTGCCTCCATCCTTTCTCATCATTCTGCTTTGTTTGTGGCTGCCAGAATAATTAAAGGAGTGGAGAAGTAGATTCTGTTACTATCTTGCCTTTAAGCTTTGCACTCAGGTTGATTAATGCTTTCTTTACACTTGCACTGAGCTGCTCTACATTTCCTTTGTAAGTAATGCTAATTAGGTTGAACAAGCAGCCAGTGCTTCCAGAGCTGGTGTTTGAGCCAGAATAACTCCTGGGAGATTATAATGTTTCGGGATGAAACTAAACAGAAAACTAATATGCAAAAGTCATATTCTTTTATTCTTCATTTTAGCAAATATTCATTGAGAACCTTCTATGTGCACTATGGCTATCTGAGGAAAAGATTACTCGTGTAAAGCTCTTGATATGGCAGTCCCTTTTTTTACATTCAGAAAAGGCAAGGAGACTAATTTGACTGAAACAAAGTAATGATAGGAAGAATAGCAAGTGATGAGGTCAGGGAAGTGGATGAGGTCAGTTATACGTATAACTCAGGGTTATGACAGCATTTGGTTAAAAAAAACTTCCCTTTTTCTCCCTTTTATTTCGATAGATGCCATTGGATGGTTTTGAGCAGAAAATAATGCATGATCTGACCTACTTTTTAAAATATGACTCCACTGGTGTATTAGGAAAATACAGTAGAAAGCAAAAGATAGAAGTGGGGAGCCTTGTAAATGATAAGGGAGAATTGGCTATGGCTTGGACGCGGGTGTTAGCAGAGCAAGTAGTGAGAGTCCATGGGTTGCATGCAGTCTGTGAGAAATAGACAGGAATCAATGTTGTTTCAAATTTTTCACCTAAGGAGCTAGAGAAATGGAGCTGTCATTTAAGAATAAGATGGCAAGAGCAGTTTTCTTAGGAAGTGGCTGGGATTAAGAGTTTGGATTTTAGTATATTGAGTGTGAATTGCCTATCAGCGTTCAAGTGAAAATACTGAGTGAGTACTTAGACATAAGAGTGAAATTCAAGGGTGACTCAGCAACATTTAATTTTTTAAAAAATTGAATTATAATTTACATATAATAAAATATTTAAGTTTTAAGTTTGATGAGTTTTGACCATTATATATATTTATGTAACCAATGTTTCAGTCTTGATCAGTAATAAAATGCTGATTCCATATGACTTTGTAAGTGAGGAGAGGGTGTGTGTCTCTTGGTGTGTGTGTGTGTGTGTGTGATATTTTATTGTATTTAATATTGCTTAAAGAAAGATTATGTTAAGGCTATTTAAAATTAGCTGACGTGCAGATGCAAGTATACAGTGCTGGAAAAAAGAATGTGAGTTTTACAAAAAGTAATAAAGTAAATGGAATGCTTATTTAGAGGCTATGAGGACACAAAACGAAATAAAATAGATTTTTTTTTATTCAATGAAACATCCCTAAAACACTACAGAGCAAAATTTAGTGTACAAGTAGACCCATCTTGGAAACCATTAATGTCAATTTAGTCTCTAAATTATTATGCCTAACACAGCGAATTGGTCATCATAAGCACATTTTTTCCCCTTATGGAGCGGTTTTACTCACAGCAGCTCCAGCAGCATAAATCCCAAGGAATCCTGTAAAGTATGGCATGAGTGAAGTACAAATTTAACTTATTTTTACCTTGATTTACATACAGGATTATATACGTGATGGATATTTTAGCAACACATTTATAGAAATATTTTTTCTGTTGTTACAGATTCATTTCTTTTTGAAGGAAGAATATTGTTTTTCATTAATTCAGTCAGTGATTTATTGAACACATTCTATATGGAAAGCGTTGAGTTAGATCCTAGTGATACAGAGGTAGAAAATACGTGGAGCTCAAAGTTTAGTATGGAAATAAAATAGATGAACAATTACAACAGAGTTTGTGAAAAATGTTATGATGGAGTTGTACTCAGCGTGCTGTGAGATTTCGGCAAACAGGTTTCAAACTGAGATTAGGAGATCAATGTTTGAAGGATAAATGGGAGTTAGAAAAGCTAAAGTTGAAGGGAATGAAGAGCAAAAAAAAAAAAAAAAAACATTTTTGTTGCAGGAAACAGACTGCATGCAGGAATAAGAGGTGTGTTGAGAATTTAAAGTAGTTCAATATACCTAGGTGAGGAATGAATATGAGACAATGGTAGAATATAAAGGATCCCAGAGAACTTTGAACTCTCTTTTATTCACTTTGCCTATGTTTCTTTCCAATAAATTCTCTGTCTCTTAGAAGGTTCAACATCTCCAAGTATCTTCGTGTATACCCAGGAAAACAGAATTGGTGATTCTTCTCAATTTACTATGAGGTTAAGTTCCAATGAACCTATTTTAAATTGAAAACATCATAAGTCAAAAATACATTTGATACCCTGCAGAGTCTCAGTTGTTTACACTCTTGATTGTAACGATAAGGTGTACTAGAGGATAGGGTGCTGGTTTTCTAACCAGCTGACGGAGAGCCTTTAAACTTGAAGCAAATAAATTACCTCGTGACCTTTTTCTGTGGCATATTTTTTATGCTGTGGCCCGCTGTCACGGCCCGGTATCTTGACAGAGTATTGTACTGCATTTTACTAACCTGGAAGACCAAATTTCAAATTTGAAGTTATGGTTTCTACTTAATGCCTGTGGATTTCACACTATCATAAAGTCAGAAAATTAAGTTGAACCATTAAAAGTCACGGATCATTTGTAGTGGCCATCACGGAATATTAAAGTTGGAGAGGGATTTTAAATATGATATATTAAAACTTAATTCTCCAGATAAATATATTTACATATATAAAATTAAATGTTCACATTATAAGTCAAAAAAGGAATTTCAAATATAACTATAAGCTAAGACTTTCTGCTCTAATTTCATATTGTTTAATAAGGAAGTTGTTGAATTTCCTATTTTTCATTCACATTTACAACCAACTTAATACATTGCTTTATTCAAGCTTAAATACCAGCTACTGGATGAAACTACTGCATGAAACCTCTTTTTAGAGTAAAGCTTCAACCTCCCAGCTTTGCTCCACCCAGTTAGGACTGTTTAATTAGAAAATCCTTGATATTTTAAAATTCATTTACTAGTAAGGGTTAATAGACATTTCTGAGGCCTAATTATTATTGATAAAAATATAGATATTTAAATCATTACCTATGAATGGGTGACCATATAGCTTGTTTTTTGTTTTTGTTTTGGGTAAGGCCCAGTTTGCCACAGTAGTTCTAGGCATAATTATTAATAGCTACCTATTTCATTCTCTATAACATAACATTCAAATTTGGACAATAAATTATAAAGTCACCTTCGTCAGTCAGCCAAGTCACTTTTATAATCTGCATAATGGTCTTGAAAAATTTCACACAATTATATTTTAAGACATAATTTCAACCATTCCATAACCAAGATATATGAACAATAAGAGGTAGGGTACATATCATATAAGCATGCTTATCTCATCGTCAGTAAACAAGAAAAACCCTAAACTTGTAGAGGCCAGGAGGATGCACTCCTACTGCATTTATTCTAGAACAAGCTCAGGGGAAATATGACCATAAGTTGTATCTGGGACACTTCTAATAGAACATTTGGAAAGTCGATGTGGTCTTTGAGCTTTCCAAGGAGCTTTTAAAGAATTGACTGATCTTCTACACCTTTAACTGTGCAAAATGTACATCTTCCTTTATATCTTAGCTAAAATATCTCCCACTGCCATTTCTCACACAGTGTGAGAGGGAACTTAGCAGAGAGTGAAAATCCCTAGATAGCAATCTACTGTCAGGCTAACAGCTTCCGCATAACAGTTATTCTTGCTTTACCCATGAAGCTGCTCTGGGCTTAATGCCTCCCTTTACTGAGGAACCAAATTTAACCTCCCCAGAGCCGCGATAACTTTTGCGAATGTTTTCCATTTTGGGGGTGCCTTATTCAGGTACAAAAGCTATTGAGCTACTTTAAAGCATAATTTCTTCTTTTCTGAAATATGATCGTCCCTATTGCAGAAAAGAAAAACAAAACCCTCTTCAACAGAGATTAATCAGCTATACATTCATGGGTGTGTTTAACCAATTGGGGAAAAAAGGGAACTATAAGAAATAGATAGTAACTAACTTACATACTTAACAGGAAGGTTTTAGGTACCTCTTCCAGAATGTGTCAGCTTAGGTTAAATCTTTCAGAAGTGAGGCACCATTAAACTCAGCAATATCCTAACATATGTATTCCACAATGAATAGTTCTACAGCAAATAAATTTTGGAGTGAACTTATGGTAGAGATATTAATATTTAGATACTTTATAGTAAGTAGCTTTTAAAAATAATAGATTGCATATACTTGAAAGAATTAGTACAGTGACATAATCGATAATGCATTGTTTTTCCTAAAAGAGTCTCGGTGGATTTGCTATAGATAACAGACACAATTCAATTATACTCAGCAACAACACTTTCTTTCCTAAAATCTATCTACTCAAGTTCTTAAAAATTATTTTCCATTGAAGTACATTTAACCTGAGCTTCTATTTACATATTTTAACAAACTTTTCTCAAAGATGTCTGTAAAGATAAATAGCAATCCAACATGTCAAGAATCATTTTGCTAAAAGTTGCTAATGCCAATTAGCATATATCTTCTTCAACTAGGATTTGTTGCAGAGGTCAACTACAGTTAATGTTAAAAACATTCAGAAACTAGAAAGTAAGGTCATCTGATCATTATTGTGGATATATTTTTTAAAGGAAATAAAAGCATAACATGTTTCTACTAGTGTCAGATTTCATAGACTAACAAGATCTCATTTGTCAACAATATCCTGCTGTTCAAAGTTTGTTCTTGACATCAGCTTGTTTCACTCTCTAAAAGCACACATTGCCTCCACTAATGTAGCCAAGTGACTTTCTCAGTCAGGCTTGTCTGTGACCCATATACAGTTATTTAGCAAACATATGGTCATTGTCACACCTAGTGACCTGCCAGCACAACAAATAATAATTTACAATTGAATTGGCACCAGGAGAGCTGAGTGAATCCCAGGATGTCAAATTGTCTGAAAAAAAGACTCTAGCAGACATCAACCAGTGTGGTTCAGTGTAGAACAGATTTTTTTTTCTTTTTTTTTTGAGACCGAGTTTAACTCTTGTTGCCCAGGCTGGAGTGCAATGGCGCAATCTTGGCTCAAGGCAACCTCTGCCTCCCGGGTTGAAGCAATTCTCCTGCCTCAGCCTCCCAAGTAGATGGAATTACAGGCATGTACCATTACGTGCGGCTAATTTCGTATTTTTAGTAGAGATAGGGTTTCTCCATGTTGGTCAGGCTGGCTCTCAACCTCAGGTGATCCGCCCACCTCCGCCTCCCAAAATGCAGGGCGTGAGCCACAGTGCCCAGTATAGAACAGGTCTTTTAAAGAAAAGAGTCAGCAAGTACATAGCTCACGGTCTTCTTGTTATCTCATAGAAAGTCAAGCACGTTCTAGGTCTGATTTAGAAGCACCATGGCTTTGTATAAACTGAAGAGAGACCCTGCCCTTGACCCCTTTCCCTTTCTATAGGATGTTTTTCTTTTTATTGGCCCTTTGAAAAGAATGGGAGTTTGGGAGATTTGGGGCCACAAAAGGCTTTCGCTAAGAAACCAATAGAGAGTTTTAAAATTACATAATTAGCTCTCTCTCTTTCTCTCTGTGTGTATGTGTGTGTGTGTTTGTCTGTCTCTACACACACACACTCATACACACGCTACATTTCACTTCATTATGTAGCACACAGTATGTGTGACAGCACAAGAAATACTAGCAACTTGGGCAGGGTGCGTTAACTTTTCTTTTCCAGCAATACTCCAAACAAGTTAAAATAATAATTAAAATAATGAAAATAAATATATGACTTGTCAATTAAAATATCATTAGAAATGATTGTAATGTCTATTGATTCTTAGTTTAAACTCCACGATACAATTTTTGTAAATATATCTTTCAGACAGTCACACATGACAACTGGATTTATACCTCTATGGATACTTTTGGACTTGCAACAGTGTCAAAGAAATGCCTAGGAAAAGAAAGAATCAAAATCCTTATGAAATACTACAAGAAGGAAAGAGAAAATGCAGTAAAAACCCTACCCAAACCATTCACAAAGTTGAAGAAAATGAAAACACTTAATCAATATTTAAAATAGTTAAATGAGCATTTAGACTTTTCAAAAAATCTAATACACAGAATTTAAAAACTCTGATATGAAATACATGAAACAGTAAGAAATACAATGAGAACTAATTAAACTAAGGAAGACAAAGAAAAAAGTCATAAATGAAGAATAAACTATGAGGTACCCAAAATAAATATGTTTAAAAAAGCATAACATAATTTTGCACCACACTACACAAATAAACTTTAAAACATAGGTTATGTGTATTACTTCATAGGAGGAAACAGTTGACAAAAACTGACTTCAATGGAGATGAACAGTTTAAGTACATAAATTTACACAGAAAACTAAGAAAATGTATAAAGGAACACCCTACTCAATAATTAAAAACAGAGGCGGATTTGGGTGCATATATACACAAAGCCTCAAATTGTTTTACATTCCATAAAGCCAAAATTTTAGAGACAAGAAGGTGTTAATAGTACATAAATTGTGTTAGAGAAAAGAAAATGAAAGAAACTTCCACATGATATTAAGTAAGTATAAAATTTATAATTAATGATAATAAAGTTGGCACAGAAATGCAGACCAATATTATACATAAATATTGATGAAAATATTTTAATAAAATGTTGATAAACAGAATCAATCATAATAATGAGAAAATAAAACATGAAGTGGGTTCATATGAAAAATACAAAGATATTTCAATAATGTGAAATATTTTAATATATTATACTAATATTTCTAAGGAGAAAAGTATATCTTCCTAAAGCCTGTAAAAAATATTCTCACTTTGTTCAACACTTATTACTCATTAAGATTTTTGGAAAGTAAGAATAAGTGGCTACTTCCTTAACATTATAAAATGTATGTATATATCTCAATTTAAAGTCCAGCATTCTACTTATTAGAAAAACACTAGAGCCCTTCTCACTATGGTTAGGGACAAGACAAAGATGCCCTAAATCTCCAGTTATATTTAATATTGTACTACAGGTATTACTCATTATAGTTAGTGGGTATAAAAAATGAAGAAATAAGAATTGAAATAAATATTTTTTTAAATTTGAAGATGATACAAATGAATATCTGGAAATACATAGAGGATTAAAAAGGCTAAAACAATAAGATAATTCAACAGGAGAATAGAATATAAAGTTAACATGAAAAAATTTATAATAATAACCACTTAAAAGATACAATGAAAGAGAAGACCCCGTTGAAAAATAAACAAAAATATAAAATTCTTAGGAAAAAGCTTAACTAGATATTTTCAAATCTATATGAATAAACTAAATCATTTCTAAAGACAAAAAGGTAGACTTGAAGAAATAAAAACACATCTGCTTTTGGTCAAAATATTTACGTTTTCACTAAGTTATAAATTTAATAAGAACTTCATAAAACTGTCAGTAAGATTTCTATTTCCAGATCTAATTAATACCAAATTTCATAGAAAAAATAGAGACAATAATATCTATGAAGACACTTTAAAAAAGGAAGAATCATGAAGTTTGGCTAACACCATCAATGTTTAAAGTATACTACAAAGGAAGTTTGGACAAAGAGACAACAGGGCCATGTCTGTACAGAGGAAAGACCCTTGAGGACACAAGAAGATGGTCATCCGTAAGCCAACTGCAAAGATAGAGACCCAAAGAGAAACCAATTCAGCTGGTTGCTTACTCTTGGCCTTCTGACCTCCAGAACTGTGATAAAATAAATTTATGTTGTTTGATCCAACTACTCTGTGATATTTTGTTACAGCAGCTCTAGAAAACTAATAGAGGTAGTATTTCAAATTATTAGAAAACAGAATTTGAAATATTAAAAATGTTCTCTAAATAAGGCTGAAAATTCACATACAATTAGAGAAAAGAGTAATAAATTTTTTTCCAAAATCTCAAACATTTTGCATGACCAAAATAAAAACAACTTATGAATGTCATAAGACAATTACCAATGGGGATAATATATTTGTGATATATGTAACATAAAGGCTAATATTCCTAACACTGAAAAAATATTGAGAGGAAAAAAGTATTATAATCATGAAGAAAATTAGGTAGAAAACATTAGCAGACAATTTGCAAAAGAAACACAAAGTCACCTTTAAAAATGTGAAAACATGTTTCACTTCATTCATACTAAAGTAAGTAAGTATTAGACTGTGTTGACACATCACACTAAATGGGCAAAAGCTGGCAGCATTCCTCTTGAGAACTGGAACAAAACAAGAATGCTCACTCTCACCACTCCTCTTCAACATAGTACTGGAAGTCCTGGCCAGAAAAATCAGGAAAGAGAAAGAAATAAAAGGCATCCATATAGGAAAATAAGTGAAAATATCTCTTTTAGTTAGAACTTCTTGTTGAACTCTTTACTATTATGTAATGCTTTTCTTTGTCTTTTTGATCTTGGTTGGCTTAACTTCTGTTTTCTCAGATACTAAGAGTGCAACTCCTGCTTTTTTCTGTTTTCTGTTTGCTTAATAGATTTTTCTTCATCCGTTTATTTTGAGCCAATGTGTGTAATGCATATGAGATGGGTCTCTTGCAAGACAGCATACCAGTGGGTCTCGGTTCTTTATACAGATTGCCACTCTGTCCTTTAATTGGGGCATTTAGCCCATATGCATTTAAGGTTAGTATTGATATGTGTGGATTTGATCCAGTCATAATGATGTCAGCTGGTTATTTTGCAGACTTGTTAATGTGGTTGCTTTATAGTGTCATTTATCTATGTGCTTCAGTTTGTTTTTGTAGTGGGTGTTAACAGTCTTGCCTTTCCACATTTAGTGCTTCCTGTAGGAGCTCTTGTATGGCAGGTCTGGTGGTTACAAATTCCTTCAGCATTTGCTTCTTTAAAATGATCTTATTTTTCCTTTATTTATGAAGTTTAGTTTCACCAGATATGAAATTCTGGATTGGAAATTATTTTCTTTAAGTATGTCCAATACTGTCCCCCAGTCTTTTTTGGCTTGCAGGATTTCAGCTGAGAGGTCTGCTGTTAATTTGATGGACTTCCCTTTGTAAGTGACTTGCCCTTTCTCTCAAGCTACCTTTAAATTTTTTTCTTTCATTTTGACCTTGGAGAATCTGATATTTGTGTGTCTCGGAGGATAATCTTCTTGTAAATTATCTTACTGGGGTTCTCTGAATTACTTGAATATGAGTGTTGGCCTCTCTAGATAGGTTGGGGAAGTTCTCATGGATGATATCCTGAAATATGCGTTCCATTCTCCCCATCTCATTCAAGGACAACAATCAGTTGTGGATTCAGTCTCTTTACATAATCCTATATTTTTCTGAGGTTTGCTTCATTCCTTTTCATTTTTTTCTATGTTTGTCTGCCTCTCTTATTTCAGAAAGCCAGTTTTCAAACTCTGAGATTCTTTCTTCCACTATGTCTGTTCTGTTAATACTTGTGATTGCATTATGAAAGTCTTCTGGGGTGATTTTTCAGCTATGTCAGGTTGGTTACATTCTTTTCTATACTGGCTATTTCATCTGTCAACTCCTGCATTGTTTTATTGTGATTTTCAGCTTCCATGAATTGGGTTTCAAGGTACTTCCTTAGCTCAATGATTTTCATTTCTATTCAGATTCTGAATAATATTTCTGTCATTTCAGCCATCTCAGCCTGGTTCAGAACCCTTGCTGGAGAGGTGTTGTGGTCATTTGGAGGAAAGAAGGAACACTGACCTTTTGAGTTTTCAGTGTTCTTGCATTGAATCTTTCTCATCTTCGTGGGCTTATCTGCCTTCAATCTTTGAGGCGGCTGATCTTTGGATGGTTTTGTTTTTTTTTAAATCCTATTTGATGATCTTGAGTGTTTGACTGTGGTGTAAGGTGGATTTAGCCAACCAGCTTCATTTCTGGGAGATTTTAGTGGGTCAAACTCAGCTCCCAACTCCTGGACTGCATACTATAATTCTGGGGGACTTGTACTGGGCCCCGGCTTTAGTCTCTGGCTCCTTGTGGTTTGTTATCCACTGCACTGGGGGGCCTGAGGTGCAGCAGCTGCAGCAATGTGATACTGGATGCCAGAGTACCTCCCTTTCTGAGGGCACTCACCACAGTGGTGGAGGCAACACAGCTGGAGGGGGCAGGGGTCTATTGCTGGAGACTATGTGAGTGGTTGCTTTGGAGGTGTTGTTGACTTGGGGGCAGAGTGCTGGCAGACACAGGGCTGAGTGCCATCTCTGTTTCCAGAAAGCAGAAGTAATCGCTCAGGGTGTGAAAGGATCTGCTGTTTTCTGGGCAGTGTTAGTAGAAGGGTGAGGTGCTTGCAGGGGTGGGGCTTGCTGGCTCTGTGTCCTCCAAGGATCCCTCTGCAATGGGGCTTGGCAGGGGAAGGGGAGCAGACTTCACTCCCACATGCTGGAGGGACAAGTAAAGCAAAACCTGCCTGTGCAGACAAGCACCACTATAGCAATATGGGGAGCTGCTGTGGGCCTTGGAGAAGCTGCAGTATGGGAAGGGAACATATGGGATGATGTGTGGCCATAGGGGCTGCCTTGTTAGAGCTCTCCACCAGTAAGGTGAAGTTCACTGGCAGAGAAGCTATGGTGCAGGCCCCAGGACACCCAAGAGTGCCCTGCAAGTAGATATGGCTAGGCTGGGGCCAGCAGATCAAGGGGTGCTCAGGTTGGACAAGCCTAGTCTGATGATGTAAACCACTCTGCAGAGGTCAGGCTCGACAGATTCCCTAGGGCTCTCTTATGGGATCAAGTTGAGCCATCCCTCTAGCCATGCTTCACTACCGATGCTCCCTCTCTAAACCTTCTGGGGCCCACCTCAGTTGGCTTGCCGCCCTTACCACTTCCTAAGCAGCTCTCCCTGCCACCTTGAGTATCTGTGGTGGTTGAGGAGTTCCCTCCTGCTGGGGTTCCAGAGGCCTGTGGTGAGAATGGGTTGCTTCTTGCCAGTTCAACTCACCTGTTACCCTGGAGTTGTTGTGGTCCAAAATGAGTCATGGTGTGCGATAGCCCCATAATGTGTTCCCAGCTTTCTCTCCCTTCAGCCCAGCTTCTGTGTTCTCCCTCTTTCCACTCTCACCACTTTCCCTCTGAAGATCTGTTGAAAGCATGACAGTCATCTCAGTTTCTTCTTGAGAGCTGTTCTACTTGTCTGCACTTAGTTGCCATCTTGCCAAAACCCCCCTGTAGCACTTCCATACACCAAAAACGTTCAGGCTGAGAGCCAAATCAGGAACGCAATGCTATTTTCAAGACACACACACACACACACACACACACAAATACCTAACCAAGGAGCTATATATGTAACAGAAGAGGTGACATATTTCTATAAGAGCTACAAAACGCTGCTGAAAGAAATCATAGATGACACAAAAATATGGAAAAACATTGCATGCTCATGGATTGAAAGAATCAATATTATTAAAACAGCCATACTGCCCAAACCAATCTACAGCTTCAACACTATTTCTATCAAACTAACAATGGCATTTTTTACAGAATTAAAAAAAAAAACTGTTCTAAAATTCATATGGAAGAAAAAATGAGCCCAAATAGCCAAATAAATTGTAAGCAAAGAGAACAAAGCCAGAGGCATCACATTGCCTGATTTTGAACTATATTATAAGGCTACAGAAACTAAAACAGCATAGTATTGGTGCAAAAGTAGAAACGTAAGCTAATGGAACAGAACAGAGAACACGGAAATAAAGACATACCCCAATGGCTATCTCATCTTTGACAAAGTTGACAAAAATAAGCCATGAGGAAAGGATTTTCTTTTCTTTTCATTTTTTTTTTTTTTTGAGACTGAGTCTCACTGTCATCTAGGCTGGAGTGCAGTGGCGCGATCTCAGCTCACTGCAAGCTCTGCCTCCTGTCTTCACACCATTCTCCTTCCTCAGCCTCCTGAGTAGCTGGGACTACAGGTGCCCACCACCACGCCGGGCTAATTTTTTTTCAATAAATGCTGCTGGGTTAGCTGGCTAGCTATATGCAGAAGGATGAAACTCGACTTCTACCTTTCATCATATACACATACAAAAAATAACTCATTATAGATTAAAGATTTAAATGAAATACCTAAAGTGTAAGAATCCAGAGAAAAAACTAGGAAAAACCATAATGGGTATCAATTGGTTATGGGGAAGAGCTTATAACTAAGTAAGTATTCAAAAACAATTGAAAAAAACCCGAAATATTGACAAAAAACTCAATTAAAAATGGATAAAAGACATAAACAGACATTTCTGAGAAGAAGACATACAAGCAGCCAACAGACATATACAAAATGCTGAACATCACTAACCATCAGATAAGTGCAAATCAAAACCACAATTAGATACCATCTTACACCAGAGTGGCTCTTACTAAAAAGACAAAAAACAGTTGAATTTGGGGAAGCTGCAGAATAAAGAGAATGCTTTTACACTAATGGTGGAAATGTAAATTAGTTCAGACACTATGGGGAGAAGTTTGGGGATTTCTCAAGGAACTAAAAATAGAGCTATCGTTCAACTTGGCAATCTCATTACTGGGTATATATTTTAAAAATATTATACCAAAAAGACACATGCACTCTTCTGTTCATTTCAGTACTACTCACAATGTCAAAAACATGAAAACAACCTAGTTGCCTATCAAGAGTGGACTGGACAAAGAAAATGTGGTACATATATACCATGGAATATTACACAGCCAAAAAAAGCAATGCAGGCATGGCCTTTGCAGCAGCAATGATGAAGCTGCAGGTCATTACCTAAGCAAATTAATGCAGGAACAGAAAACCGAATTCAGCATGTTGTCACTTGCAAATAAGAGATAAACTTTGGACACACATGAACATAATGATGGCAAGAATATACCCTGAGGATTACAAGACTGAGGAGGGTCGGAGGAGGACAAGGACTGAGAAACTAACTGTTGGGTACTATGCTTACTATGTGGGTGATGGGAACATTCATATCCCAAATCTCAGCATCATGCGATATACCCATACAGCAAATGTGCACATGTACCCCCTGAATCTAAAATAAAAGTTGAAATTTTAAAACAACTTTAAAAAGACGGTATTGAAATATCATTTCTCACTCATAAGGTTCAAAAGCTTGACAGTCATTTCTGTTGGTAAGACTGTGTTGACAAGTCACTCTTATATATTGTTGGTCATAACGCAAAATAATAAAAATTTGGAGAGGAGTTTAGCCTAAAAGTGTACAATATATATTAATGAAACCTAACCTAAAAGGGATCAGAAGGTTTTAAAGTATGCATATATGTGTGTGTGACTATGTATGAGAGAGAGAGAGAAAGAGAGATCAACAAATGCATCTGGGCTAAGGGCTTGTGAGTTCTCTGAAATTTTTCATTAATGTTTCTGTATTTTCAATTATTTCAAAACAGAAATAAAATTATTTACGGAAAATGTATAAAAGAACACATATGGCATTGGACTAGAAAAATATTTAAGCAAATAAAATGTAAGAACATTAACAACTTGGGGGAAGAGAACTACAATTCATACGGCTAACTTAGTATAGATAATTACAATAAATAAATAAGATTTATAAGTCAAAATGAAGACTAATAGAAAAGTAGGCTAAATATGGGAACTTAAGTCAGAAGATGTGAATGCTTCACATTCTCTAAAAATATAACATTCAAAAACTTTGTAGATGTTGTACAAAATATTGTAATAATCAACAATATTAATTTTTAAAACAATATTAGAATATTTTACATACATTTTTAATAACATGATGCCGATTATTTTTGATCATGATCAGCAAGAACTCTCAAAACTTACTGATAAAAGTGAATTGTTACAGTGCTTTAGAACTTAATTTGGAAATATCAACAAGAGTTAAAGTCTATGTACTCTATGCTCAGTAATTCTCTTTCCATATATACTCAAGAGAGCCTTTTCTTCATGTTAAAAAGAAAGATCTATACAAGAATATTAATTTATTGTGACATAAAATTTTTAATAAAGAACAAGCCAAACATTCATCAATTAGTAGAACAGATGAATAGTGGTATAATCATATAATTGAAAACTACAGTGTAGCTAAAGAGAATGACTTAGAGCTATGCATGTCAACATAAATGAACCTCAAAAACTTAATTTGGGGGAAAACATACTTCAGAATAATATATGCAGTAATATATATGTTACAGAAAATCTAAAACTTAAAAACTCATAAGATAATACCATATATAGTTAATAGATTCAGGCATAAGAAAGAAAAAGCATAACAAGAAGTACATATAAAAAATTTAGGAGAATGTTTGGAATGTGGAAAGATTAGAGTGTTCCTTAGAAGTATTTTTAATATTTATTTCTGAAATAAACTTTTTAAATATGGGTGGTAGGATTATGGGTGTTTTCTATATTAGTTATACATTTTTCTAAGCATTTAATTTTGTATAACATTAAAATACATTTGTAAATAAAAACTAACTGTGGTCAGCATTTATGTTTTAATCTTGTTGAGCCTGTATCTGATTTATAATTTACTTGTCCTCCTTCCTCCCTTCCTTGTCCAAAAAAACTGAAGTGTCCGCTTTTCCTTCCTAAAGTCCTTGAAATCTACATCAGAGCACTGCATGGAGTAAGAGCAAATTGCTCTGAATTAGTTGGGATGAATCTAACGCCCAGTGTCACCTCTGTACTAGCTAGAGAGCTAGTAACTTTAGTAACTTTTCCAAGTTACTAAAAATTGCCTCATTTGCCTAACCTTTTGTGAATTATAGCTAGTAACTTGTAACTCATTTTAGGGCATAATTTATATTGTCATGCTTTAAAAATGAAACCAACCTTCTTATATATACTTTCTTAAATTGTATTCCTTAGATGAGTCACAGAAACATAATTTAAGAGAATAATTGTATTTCAAAACCGATATGTAGAGGTCTCATTCTCTCTCTATCATGTCCACTTGGAAGTTTTGAAGGTATCTGACTGAAGATAGTCTTGTAGGAAAATTTTTCTGGCTTCTTTCTTTTTTCTCTTCCTTTTCTTTCTTTTTCTTATTCTTTTTCTCTTTCTATTTCCTTTCTTTCTTTCTTTCCTTCTTTCTTTCATTTCTTTCTTTCTTTCTCTTTCCTTTTCTTTCTCTTCTCTCCCTTCCTTCCTTCTTTGCTTCTTTCCTTCCTTCTTTCCTTCCTTTCTTCCTCTCTTTCTTCTTTCTTTTTCTTTCCCTCCCTCCCTCCCCTCCCTCCCTCCTTTCCTTCCTTCCTTTTTCTTTCTCTCTTTCTGTCTCTCTCTCTCTCTTCCTATTTTTGATTAAATACCATGCCTTCTACTAAAAGTCAAGCAAAATTTTGTACTGGATGTAACTCACAGAGATAAGTTATCACAATGTTTTATATACTGTCAATACAATTATTTCTTAACCCTTTTTCTAAGTGTTTTAACTTTATCATCTTCTGTTTCAAATACTCTCAATTATTTAAATTTATGTTTTAATTGACAAGTCATAATTGTGTCTGTTTTTGGTGTAAAATATAATATTTTGATATATTTATTGTGTAATAGCTAAAGTGAGTTATTTAATATATGCATTACCTTACATTTTTTGTGGTGAGAAAACTTAAAATGTACTCTCTTAGCAATTTTGAAGTATACAACATATTGTTATTTATTGTAGTCACCATGACATAATGATAGATTTCTCAAACTTATTCCTCTGTTTAACTAAAATTTTGACCATTTTTTTCACAATACCCTCATTCCCTGGTCTTTGGAAAGCACCGTTTTACACTCTGTTTCTATGAGTTCCACTTCTGTAGATTCCATATGTAAGTGGGATCATGTGATATTGCTCTTTCTGTGCCTGGCATATTTTACTTAAAATGCCCTTCAGGTTCATCCATATTGTCAGAAATTATAGGATTTTCTTCTGTTTTAAGGTTGAATTATATTCTCTTGGGCATCTACAACACATTTTCTTTATCCATTCATCTCTTGATGGACACAGGTTGATTCTATATCTTGGTTATTCTAAATAATACTGTAATTAACTTGGGAGTGCAAATATCTCTTTGATATACTTATTTCATATCCTTTTTATGTATATCCAGAAGAGGGATTGCTGGATGATACAGTGGATCCATTTTTAATTTTTGGAGGAACCTCCATACTCTTTTTCATAATGGCTACAGTTACTTACATTTATACCGACAGTGTACAAGGGTTTCTCTTGTCTTGACATCTTTTCTACCACTTGTTATAGTTCATCCTTTTGATAATATCCATTTTAACAAGTGTGAGGTGATATTTTATTGTGGTTTTAATTTGCGTGTTCCTGATGATTAGTGGTGTTCAACTGCTTATCATATAACTGTGGCCGTCTGTTAGTCTTCTTTTGATAAATATCCAAACAGGTCATTTTACCGCTTTAAAATCTGGTTACCTATTTTCTTTTTATTGAATTGTGTTCTTTATGTATTTTGGACATTAGCTCCTTATCTGATATTTGGCTAGGAAACATTTTCTCTCATTCTATAGGTTGCCTCTTCACTCTGCTGCTTCTTCCCTTGGCTGTGCAGAAAATTCTTAGTTTGATGTAATTTCGTTTCTCTATTTGAGCTTTTGTTGATTGTGCTTCTGGGATTATATGCAAAAAAGCTTTGCCAAGACCAGTATCATGGGGCTTTTCTCTTATGTTTCTTTCTAGCAGTTTTACAACTTCAGGTCTTATGTTTAATTCTTTAGTCTATTTTGAATTGATTCAATTCCATTTTATTCTAATCAGTTTGAAATTTCATGAGATTACAGAAAGAATTTCTAATCTGATTTCTAATGGTTATATATTATTTTCTGTTATATGGTAAAGTTTGGTATTATGCTTAACAATGAATTTGCTTTGTATCTCTCAGGAAAATAGAGTAGATGTTTATTTTCCTATTCTGTCTACAATGTATGGCCAAAATATTTGGGTATTACACATACAAAACAACTTAAGAAGCTTATGAAAGATAAAGAAAATGACTGCCTAAAAAACTTGAGATGTAAGGAATAACACAATGGTGAGCTTTCTGTGTTTTCTTTTTGCCTTACATATTCTAGACTTGGAGCTGAAGAAGGAGTAACCTAGAAATGCCAATAGAGACTATAAAACAAGTTTTAAAAAAGCAACAACAACAACAATAACAACAACAAAAAAACAAAATAAGGGAAGCCACATCTCTCTAGCCAGTGACCAAGAAAGTGATAGCCCAGCAAGACAGAAAACTTCTAGACAATACCTACTCAATTCCAATCAAAGACCACAGGAAAAAACCAAACAAACAAACAAACAAAAACTATGGCCTCACCACCATCCATATTAGTTAAGGTTAAGTGGAGAAACTTTTTACCTTCCTGAGGCTGTTATGAAGCATCCCAAAATCTCTGCTAAGTTAGTGTCAGAGAAGAATAGATAATACACTGGGATAGTCAACCCCACTGACAGTTTATGAAGCTACACCTCCTACCAATGGTGTCAGTGGAAATAACACTGAGATACTGGACTTCCAACCTGACTGTACAGGAATGACATATCTCTCTGTCTCAGCTTAGCTGGCCTCAGTGGTCACCTAGTGAAGAGTCAATATTTTAATTATCACCCAGGTATATTGAGGTCACCCTCATTACAATGTCAGTGTAGAACATGTGGTAATCTGGAACTCCCATCCCCACCCAAAAATGAGAAGTCCTTTCTACAGGTGTCAATAAATCCTGACTAGGAAACATAAACTTCTACTTCCACCTGACAGTAGCAAGGCAACTCACCCCTTCCATGATGGAGTGGTGTCAGAGAAATCCAGCAAAAAGAGAAGGCTTACATAGATTCAGTGTCTCATAATATGATATGAAACTGCCCTGTTTTCAAACAAAAATTACACATCATACCAAGAATCAAAAAGACCTTGAACTGAATTTTAAAAAAATAGATAACACTGAAATGTCAGAAATATTAGAGTTATCTAGAGTCATCTGACAAGTATTTTCAATCATGACAAAAATGTTGCAATACATAAGTAAGCATATAGAAGAAATAAATAATAAATAATAGATGAAGCAAAGAAATATAAATTCTCAACACGCTAAGATAATATATGAAAAAGAATCAGACCAAAATTTTTAAATGAAAAATGAAATAACTAATACATAAACTCAGTTGATGTGCTCAGTGACAAAATTGGTAGGGCTGAGTAAAAGATTAGTGAACTAAAAACCAAGACAATAGAAATTACCCACATGAACAATAGAGATAAAGTAGGTTAAATAATAATGACAACAAACAAACAAACATAAATCTCCAAAAACATGATCAGAACCTCAGGGATCTGTGGGGCTAGAGCAACAATTTAACATTTCTTTCACTGGGTTCACCGAAGGATAGAATAAAGAAGGCAGAAATAAAAAGCTATTTGAAATAATAGCTGAAGACTTTATATAATTAGTGAAAGCCATAATCTACAGATTCAAGAAGGTGAACAAAACCCAAATAGGAAAAATACAAGGCAATCCATGATAAGACGTATCATAATTGAACTTCTGAAAATTAAATACAGAAAAAAATATTGAAAGCAGCCAATGAGGGGGAGACATCTATAAGGGGAAAAATTCAAATGAAAGCTATTTCTTATCAGAAATAAAAGAAACCAGAAGGAAATGACACAATATTTTTCAATTAATGAAAAGAAAATTAATGAAAAGAAAAATATTTCAACCATGAATTCTATATTTGACAAAACTATGCTTTAGGAATGAAGGGGAAATGAAGATATTCTCAAATGAAAGAAAACCAACAAAATATCTTGTGAGAAGACTTACCACAAAAGAATGGTTGAAAAATATAAACGGAAGAGAAATAATACAAAAAAAATTGAAGCCTGAAGAAACAGAAATAAGACAAGATAAAAAATGGGAAAAATAATAGGTGTTTCTCCTATTGAACTCTCTAAATTGTTTGATGGCTGAAACAAAGATTGTAATATTATCTGATATAATTCTAAATGTTCATAGAAGAAGTATTTAAGATAATTACATTATAAGCAGAAATAATAAAAAAGAATGCAAAGGGAGATAAGGGTTCTCTACTTCATTTGATCTGGTAAGATGGAGACAACAGTAGATTATAGTATGGAATATATATATATATATGTAGTAATACTTAGATCATACAATGAAAAGACAATATGAAGAAATATATGTGAAAACAAAATATACACATCCAAATGGAATTTTAAAAAAGGTTCAATTAACCCACAAAAAAACATGAAAAATAAAGACAATGAAAAATATAACAAATATAAAAAAAAATTAAATAGTGGTTTGAACCCACCCAGGAAGGCCAAAAATAAAAACATTAAAAATAAAAAGGTAGGCTTAATCCTTAATATATTATTTGCATTAAATGTAATTTAATGTAATGGATATATGATTTAATGCAATTGATATGTTACATTAAATATCAATGGACTAGCTATACCATGTAAAGGTCAGAGATTGACAGAGTAGATTAAAAAACATAGCATATAATGGCATATACGCCTTTACAAGAAACTCACTTCATTTTCATGGATTCCATATTTTCAAATTGGCTCTGCTAATTTTTGACAAATATGCAAACGCAATTTAATAAAGGAAAAACTACCTTTTCAAAAAGCGGTATTAGAACAATTCGATGTCCATAGACTAAATAAACAGAAAACAAACTTCAGCCTATTTCATACCTTATGCAAACAACAAAAACAAACAAGAAAAAAAAAAAACCCTTAACATGCATCAGTGACTTAAATGTAAAATACAAAACCATAAACTTTTAGAAAAAAATGTAGGTGAATATTGTCAGTATCTAAGTGGAGGCAACATGTTCTTAGACTTGACAACAATAGCACAACCCATAGAAATAAAAAAAATGGTCTTTATATCATCAACTTTTGCTCTATGAAAGATCATGTGAAGAGAATGGAAAGACAAGTTACAAACCAGGAGAAAATAATTGTAAACTGCATGTCCAATAAAGTTCTACATTCAGATTAAATAATGTGCTAAAATTTTAACAGTAAATAAAAACAAAATCCAATAGAAAATAAGCAAAATACATGAAGAGATATTTCACTGAAGCTGTGCAGATGCCACATGAGTACATGAAATTACCTTTAACATCATTAACCGTTAAGAAACTAAAAATAAAAACCCAAAGAAAGTAGAAATAAAAACCCAAAAATATATTGCTACACACCTATACAAATGACTAAATTAAAATTACTGACAACACTAAATGCTAGTGAGGATATAGAGAAACTGGATCACTCAAACATAGGTGATGGTAATGTAAAATTGTATTGCCACTTTAGAAAAGAGTTAAATGGTTTCTTTAAAAAGTCTTAAGATGCACCTGAAAATAAAAAGTAAAATTAGAATGTCCCAACTGACTGAATAGATTCCCCCCTCTTAGCCAAGAGGATCCCAAAGACAACCTGAAAAACTACTTCAGGCCATTTTGGGAAGGGAGGTCAGATGTGCCTTCTCATACCCTTCTGTGTTTGAAGTTTAGGCACTACTGACCAGCATTACCATTAAAATAGAAATGATAAGACTGACAAAACACAATCTTTGTAGCAAAAAGATACCAAATTCCAACATGACTCTGGTACAGTATCACATAATAGATAACCGGCCATAAAGGAAATCAAAGCATTTTACTCCAAATATATGTATTTGACATATTTTGGAATAGGCATCCAAAGCGGTCTCTTGTGAAGCAAATTTGCATTTTGTAGAGAACCTTCTTTTCTTGATCCAGTAGAGATTTAACACAGAGTTTGAAATCTTTTAAAGTCTGATAGGAGACATTTACCATCTATTCTTTTTGAAGCCTGTTATTTAGAGGCTTCATCTACGTACGAAGATTCTTGGCTTCCACAATCCCCCTTATCTTAACTCATGCATTTCTTTATTATGACTTCATCTCTTCAGGCAAAGCTTAATCTTTCAACCAATTGCCAGTCAGAAACTCTTTGAATCCACCTGTGACCTGGAAAACATCTCTTTACTACACTTTGAGATGTCCCTCCTTACCAGAACAGGTTGATGTATAACTTATGTGTATTGATTTATGTCTTTGCCTGTAATTCTGTCTCCCTAAAATGTATGCAAACAAGCTGCAACCCAACCACCTTGGGCACATGTTCTTGGGACCTCCTGAGGCAGTGTCACTAACATTTAGCTCAGAATAAACCTCTTTGAGTATTTTAAAATTTGGCTTTTCTTCATCAACACACTTACCACATAATTTAGACATTTGCACTCCTGGTAATTTATCCCAGATAAATTAAATGTTTTGTTCACATAAAGACGTATACACAGATATTTTTAGGAAATTTATCCATAATAGCCAAAAGCTGGAAAAATCATATTTGTTCTTTAGTGGGTACATGGTTAAGCAACAACAAGAAAAAAGTGGTGCATGGATATCCTTGAGTAGCAATTAGCAATAAAGAAAGAATGGAGTACTGATATGTATTCACCCACCAGGATGAATCTCCAGAAAAGTAGACGGAGTGAATAAAGCCAACCCCAAATGGTTACATGATGTGTAACTTCATTTATATAGTATTCTTAAAATGACAAACGTATACAAACTAGAACAGATTAGTGGTTGACGGTTTATAAGGAGGAGGTGGGGGTGGAAGAGGCATGGGAGTGGGTACAAAAGGGCGACATGACCAATACTTGTGATGATAGAAATGTTCTGTGACTGCCTTATCAATACTAATACCTTGGTTGTGATATTGTGCTATAGAATTGCAGATGTTACAATCAGGGGAAACTGGGAAAAGTGTACACATGTTTCTGTATTTTTTTTATAACTGAATGTAAGTTTAAATAACTTGAAAATAAAAGTTTTATTAAAAATGAGAATTAGTCTTAAATTTTCACATTGTAATGCCTGAGAATGTTGACATAAAAGGCCATCCAAATCAATTAGATAGAACAATAGTAGAAATAAGGAAATCACAAATATATTACCAATTAGATTAACCTTGGAGAACTTGGGCTAAGGGTAAGAAAAATGGTTTCACATTTGGAAAGTTATTGTTGGTTTTCTTTACATTTTTACTTCAATTTCAGGCTCCATATTATTTTACAACGGTCTACATGAGAGATTATAAAATAACAAAAATATTAACAGGCTACAATTGCTTTAGTACTGTATAAAAATACAGCACCATACTCCTTTGCTGGTTGCTTTACAATCATTTTCTCACTCAATCCGCTCACCATTCTATGAGAAAGTCTCTGTAATTATTTTTAAGTGACTGAGACATACAAAAGTTAAACTAATTATTAAAGAATAAATGGAAAACACTGGATTGAATTCAAATATTTGTGATAGGAGAACCAAAAGTTTTAAATCCTATAATGCCATCTGATAGATTACCTGAGATTTTTATGCCACATCCCCATTTTTTATCCCTCTTATTTTCAACCATAGTTCTCTTTCTCCACTTCGCCCCACTTCTCCTCGACCTTCTCCTTCTCCTCCTTCTCTTTCTCTCTTTCTCTTGCATTTAATTACAGCCACTTTAGCCACTTTATGTCTAGAACTGAACTAGCTGCTAGAAATAGAAGACTTTATGTGCTTATAATTCAAAGCTCAGTGGGATATAATCTTTGAAGTAGTGCTTTGTTTCTCATAAAATATGAGGGTATTTTGAAAGAGCAAGTTGATAGTTGACCCCTGCCCCCTAATAAAACTTTTTAAAGCTCTCTTATGTTAGAAAAAGCAGAAAGAAAACACACACACACACACACACACACACACGTATAATGTATGAAGTGTGTACATATGCAGTGTGTATATATCTAGTGTGTGTATATATAAGGTATAGACATACACATAGTATACACACACAAACACATACAGGTTATTTGCTGCCATTTTCCCTTTGACCACTATAAGAGACTCTTCTGGTTGGCAGGGCTTTTTCACGTCTCAGTTCTAGGAGATTGGTTAATTAGCTGGAAATCAAGAGTTCAGAATTGATTCCTATAAAGCATTATTCTTCTAAATCTAAGAGAAAAGAAAAACATCTCCAGGTCATCTTCAAAGTTTAAAATATATTCATAACAATACATTGAAGATCAAAATTTATAAATATGGAAATTTGACTAATGAATTTTATAATTGTTTTAGAAATGTTATATGATTGCCCCAAACTTTCTTCCATAACAGTGGTTATAAAATTTTGCTACCTTAATTTGTTAGCCACTGCGTTTTGAACATAATAATATAATACTGGAAGCATTCATTAATGAAAATGTCATGATTCTTTCTGTCTGTCCTAAAAAATTGCTCTATGGTATCAATAACAATAACTTGAAATCTTGGATATTTTTACTCCATTATTTTCTTTAAAAATTATGTAATAATGTATCTCTTGATTTTATGAGCTACTTCACAGTTGGAATTTTAAGATTTGTTGTTAAAATGAAAAGCAAACATTCATTTCTCAAAATGCATATTTTCACCTCTTATTTACTTTTAAATTATTTTATTTGCACATTATGTACAATAAAGCCAGGCAAGCAAATAGTAAAGCTTCTCTTCTCAGAAGGGGATATCTGTCAGATACCCTTAAGCTCATGTGTAGCTGAAGGTTAGGATTTGGTCAAATGAGAAATGGAAATAAATAATCTCAAAGGAAAGTTATCCATGAAAAACACTGCATTGCCAGACAGCTGGTATTCTGTCCAGAATTTCATAACTCAGCAGATATTGAGAGCATACTGACCAAGAACTGAATATCACTGTATTTCTTAAATAGAGTTCCAATGAGACATATATTGACAAGGGTTTTCCACAGTGAAATAGAGAACCCCAATTTTCCCTAACAGATTGTGAGATATTCTATAAACAGAAAGGAATATAAAGAATGTGAGAGCCATTGTGCATTCCCATTCCCATTCTGCTTGCTGCATTATTAACTTAATGTGTAAAGATGGTCTAAACCCGGGCATGTAGTTCCTGACCTACTGTGTCAGTTACAACTGAGCCACCTAGTGGCTTGATAACATTCCAAACAGAGTCCCCCATAATGAAGTAGAATCTGCATAATTCGTATGCATTCCACAGTGTGAGAATTGCTTCCCTAAACATCTATAGCCCCCTGGGTCGAAAGCATCTTGAATCCCACCTGGAAATGACTACAAAACTGGTCCATAAGGCATCAACAGCAGATGTCCTGCATTCTCCAAATGAAACTCTTTCTGATACCTAAATCTATGACTAAGAATTATGTTTCTTCCATTTACTATGCTTTTATTCTGTATTGCCAGGAACAGTATGTTAGTCAGCAGATGAAGAGCTAGATCGCTCCTGCTTTCTTATGTATTAGCAATAGTTTACTTTATCCTTAGAGGAATGCACAACTGTTGCATTACTTAGAACAAAAAGAAAATTATATCAAGCATCTCTTGCTTTCATTCTCCTTTAGGGGGTGTTTGATGAATGATTCATAGTCATGTATATAATACACTTTGTGGCTCTTTATAGAATTGGCTATTCAAAGCATAATTCTTCTGGTCATATATTGTACATCATAGAGTTTAATTAAAAGTGTATCTGCTTCACTATGTAGTAAATGATGCATGCACATTACTCCACAGTACATACATATTTCATGTTATAATTATGCATTTCACAATCTAAAGTATGCATTTAATTATACAGAAAAGTTATACCATTTTCAAACTTGGTAAACACAGATGGAAATGGTAAACATAATTTTTTAGGAAGGAGTGAGGGGGATGTGAAAACATGGGTTCTCAAACAGTTCATATTTGAAAATTAAACCTCCCTCACCCCAATCCCTTTTATGTTTATGATCATTATACTTTTATCTGAAAGAGCATATGTAATATATCAACAATATAGACTGTTTTGGATGATGTCCAAAGTGATAATATTAAGGATCATAATTTTCATCTATTGGAAATCCAAATTCATTTTCTGTTAAGAGGCATATATTTTAGGCTTGTGAAATTTGAAGTAAATACTCTGAAATGTGCCTTTCACTGACTTTTGTATTTTGAAGTTTCCTAAATGTTCAGTTAGTATTATTGCCATTACTCTATCAAAACCTGATTTCTGGAACGAACCTAGAATTTGGCATTTACAAACTAGTGTAACCTGAAATTGACTATGAGTAAATTTTTCAGAGCATATCCCTGTTAATATTTTTCTACTAGAAAGGCTGTTTTTCTTTTTTTAATACCTACATTCTATAAATCAGCTGCCAGTTTATTGCTGCACCACTAGAGATGTTTTTGTTGTCGTTGTTGTTGTTGTTTTCCTGTTGCTGCCTTTAAGATATCCTTTGTTTTTGTTTTTCAGCACAGTTTACCTCTGATTTGCTCATATACAATTTTTTTTTACTTTTATGGAGCTTGAGTTCATAGAGCATTTAGAATTTTTAGCTTGCCATGCCTCCTCAGTTTTGCATAGTGGACATTACACTCAATGAAAGTTTTTTTAAGGTGAGAATTATGGCAGACAACTTGATATTCCATAAAGCAACAAATGGAAGTCCTAGAAATAAAACCTCAATTACTCGATTAAATAACAAAAAGGATAATTTAAAAGGAGATCAGACATGGAGACATTTAGTAAAGTGGATGATAGTTCAGAAGTTATTCAGAATGATGAAAGGAAAGTAAGAAAAAAGAAAATATAGTAGATAAATAGATGCAACGGGGACATTTAACATACATATATTTGGAGTCTCAGAAAAAAAAAAGAGGGTACTGGATACTGGATAGTATCAAAATCACAGCTAAGTCTCTATATTCTCAGCTACCTCCCTCAGAAGACATATATCCTAAGGGAAATGCAACTTCCAAATGCCATTGACAGAATCCACTTTTACATAATTTTTATATAATAAACAAATTTTGCACCTTTCAGAAAAGCCAAGCCTTGAAGTTCAAAGTTTTCTGATAAAGTAGAGCTATATAGGAGTGAGCCTGTAATTATATTAGGTTTTATCCTGGAGATATTTAATAATTATTTAAGCTGTACAAAGTAGAAGCCAATAAGGTCGACAGAAAATGGATGAAAAGCAATGCAGACTTTAGAAATCTGTGCTGGAGAGAGAGCAATCAGGCATGCCAAGAGAAAAGAATCCATTTTTTTTAAGGCAAAACAAGTAGACTGAACTTGACACAGCTCAAAACCTAATCTGGAATTAGTTTAGAATTTACGTGTATTAATGTGATCTACTCTAGCCGTAGCTCCCCAGAAAAAGGATATTGTTAATCACCTATGAAAAAAGACAAATTCCAAAGTCTCAACAATTTTCACAAAAATGTCCAACATTTACTAAAACATTAGCTTGGGAAGGAAGGAAGGAAGGACAGACAGAAGGAAGGAAGGAAAGGGAAGGGAAGGAGAAGGGGAAGGGGAAGGGAGGAAGAAGAGAGGGAGGAGAGAGGGAGAGAGGGAGGGAGGAAGGAAGGAAGGAGGGAAGGAAGGAAGGGGAGGAAGGGAAGGAAGGGAAGGAAGGGAAGGAAGGGAAGGAAGGGAAGGAGGAAGGAAGGAAAAGAGGAAGGAAGGGAGGAGAGGGGAGGGGAGGGAGGGAGAGAGGGAAAAAGAACCAAGAGGGGATCTGCATATTGAAGTTACTGGACAGGGGCATTAAAATGATTGTGATTAATGTGTTCACAATAGAAAACTTCACTAGAGAACTATAATCTATTTTTTAAAAGTTCAATAATTAAAGTCTCCATGTGCCAGCTGCTGTTGAAATGTAAAATGATGGGTAAAAATATCTCATAGCAATGAAACTAAAAAGAGAGATTGAGAAAACTCTAGGCCCATATTGTTTTACTGGGAAATTCTATTAAACATTTGAAAAGGAAATAGTACCAGTTCTACATGATTCATCCAGAAAATTGAGAAATACTTTCCAACTAATTCTACGAAGCTAGGATTAGTATGAAATCATGCCAAAGACATTATGAGTAAAGAAATTTACACAACAACAGCTCTCATGAACATAGAAACAAATAAGCTTATTAAAATTATAGAAAATTCTGTTGAAAAATGTATAAAAATGATAATATAACTCAATAAATTGGTGTTTATTTCAGAAATACAATATTGGTGTAACTAAGTTGAATCACATTATTCATTGTATTACAAAGTAAAAACAAAAGGCATGTGCTCACCCCAATAGACACTGAAGGAACAATTGACAAAATTCAACATCCATTCTTGATACAAATTCTTAGCCAACTAAGGATAGAATTAAACAATCTCAACTTGATGAATGGCGTGCACAAAAATTTGCAGTGTATATCATAATGAATAATGAAAGATTGAATGCTATAATGATAAAATAAGAAGGAAAGCAAACATAATCACCCTTTCTGCTTCTATTCAATGTTCAACTGAAGGTTCTGGCCAGCACAAGTAAATAAAGCAACTGGAATAAATTTGTTAAAAAAATAAACTGAAAATAATAAATGAAAGTGGTTATCCTGGAGGCAGAAAGCATTGTCTACCTCGAAAATGTGGCGAACTGTACAAGAGTTACCAGAATTTCTTTGTCACCAGATCAATATGCAAAAATCAACTTTATTTCTGTTCGAAAACAAATTATTTCTATGTTGTAGCCACAATGAGAACTTGAAACAGAAAGAGCCGTAACATTTACAATATCATCCAAAATTTGAAATACCTATTTATAAATTTGTCTGAAGATGTGTATGGCCTAAACACAGAAAGTGACAAAACATGACTGAAAAAAATTTTAAAAAGATATAAAGAAATGGGGAGATATAGCTTGTTTTTGTATTAGAAAACCAATTTTAGAAATTTTAGATAAAGTGTTAATTCTTCCCACATAAATCTACATATTCAATGTAATAGAAAATAAAAAATAAACCTACACATATAGGAAAACCTAATTATGAAGAAATGTCTACAGACAGTTCAGTTGAGAACTCATAATCTTAGTAAATGATCTTGGTAAAAGTGGATATGCATGTGCCAATAAATAAATAAATACATAAACAAACTTCAATTCACACATTATACCTAAGGAAAATAGTGTATAATGTATTGCATTAGTCATTATTGTGTAATGAGTTATGTTCCAAATACATAACAAAGAGACGATCAATTTTATTGAGGCAAATAACATTAAAATGGGCAACTATTTTTGCATAGACACTTCACTAACAAAAATACATTGGTTAAAACTCAGAACATATAAAGATGATGAACAGCATTAATTATTAGGGGAATGCAAATTGAAACCACAATGAAATAGCATTGCATATCCATTAGAGTAGCTCTCTAAAAAGAAATAGATAAACCTAAATAAAAGTATGACTACTAAAGAAAACTTCAGGCCCAAGTGGTTTCATTGGTAAAGGATAATACATATTTAAGGGAGTAATAATGCCAATTCTATATAATATGTTCCAGAAAATAGAAGCGGGAACATTCTCAAATTCATTCTCTGATGATAGCATTACACTAATAGCC
Organism: Homo sapiens; assembly: GCF_000001405.40. NCBI lineage: Eukaryota > Metazoa > Chordata > Mammalia > Primates > Hominidae > Homo > Homo sapiens. The sequence goes on along the minus strand of NC_000003.12, from coordinate 103,790,415 downwards.
TAAAATGAAGTGTCGCTATAAGCCTAAGCATTAAAATACTCAATAAAATATTTATAAATATAATCCAGCAATAAATTTTTTAAAAATGATATGTTAAACCAAGTGAGGTTAATCTTAGGAATGCAAGGTTAGTTCAACATTTGAAAATCAATCACTTCACTACATTAACAGGCTAAACAAGAAATGCTTCATTATCTCAATAGATACAGAAAAAGCATTTTACAGAATTCAAAGAATTCTACATCCATTCATGGGAAACATGAAACACTCAGTAAAGTAGAAATAGACAGATACTGCCTTAACCTAATAGAGAGCAATTGTATATAACTTACAGTTATCATCATATTTAATGGTGATAAACTGAATGTTTTTCCTGTAAGAACAAACAAGAAAGGTGTTTTCTCTTACTACTGCTATTCAACATTCTATTGAACTGACTATTAACTACAATATATCAAGCAAAATAAATAAAGTCATACAGATTAAAAGCAAGAAAAAAACACTCTATGTTCACGGTGATAAAACTGTCTATATAGAATAATTAAACAAAACTTGAGCTTCTAGTAAGTGAGTTTACAAAGATCACAGTCATTCAAGTCAACATACCAAAGATAGTCATATTTCTATATGCCAGCAATAATATAATTGAAATATGAATTTAAAAAATCTACTTATGTATTATCCCAAGAGAAATGGAAACTTTTATTCATACAAAGACTTGTGTGCAAATGTTCGTAACGGTTTTATTTCTAATAGCCAAAAGTAGAAAACAACCCCAGTGTTCAAATGGTGAAAGAATTAACAAATTTTTGCCTACCAATAAAATGGAATACTATTCAACAAAAAAATAAAATGACTATTGATACATACAAAAATATAAATGAACCTCACAATAATTATATTTAAAAAAACAAGCAAAACTGTTGATATAGTATGATTTAATTTACATAACATTTCAGAAAATATAGTGACGGGAAGAAAATCAGTGATTACTTAAAGGTAGAGGTGAGGTTTGGGTGGGGTGGAATAAAAGCAGGGAAGAGTGATCACAAAAGAGAACTAATTATATAGTTACATAGGAAATAATAAGTCTGTTTATCTTGAATGTTGTCAAGGTTTCTTGAGTGTATGCACACTAAACTTTAATACTTTATGGACATAAAATTTATTGTATTTATGTGAATTAACCTGCTATATAATTGCTAAAAATAAATAAAATATGCAAATGCCAGTAGCTGGTGAGAAATGCATTTGTATGCCAAAGGGAATGAGCCAGTAGAGAATTAAATATTGATGATGGATTGCAGGGTTTAATATAAGGAGAGAAATGATAAACAAGGCAAAATAAAATTGAATTCAGAGCATAAGTAGAAGGATTATTATCAATTTAAAAAGCAATATTTCATTTTGAAGGAAGTGATGACAGAGATACATAGATATCAGTGGACTAAAAATTTAAGGGTGGCAAATGAGAACATTCCCTTCTGCAGTGACATCAAAGCTCGTGGAAAAATAATTCAGAGTTGAGGAAAAGTATAGCATTGTTTTCTTAGAAAGCAGGAAGGAAAATAACTGCACACTAATTGCAGTATTAATAGAGATTTATTAATCAGTATGCGGGAGGAGAAAACTGAAGGAAATGCTAAGGATTTCAGGATAGAAAAGACACATAGCCTATAATAAGAAAAAAATTTTGAAGCTACCAGCATATAACGAAGACCCTTACTTTAAATATTATTTAACATCAGCAGTAGTTTTGTCAAGATTAGAGTGTTGTTTTTCTTTTCCTTGTATTATTGGGGAGGAGTAGGACAGAAATGCTGATACATGAAATGGAGCTCATTAGGCCACATTTTCATTATTATTGTTAATAAGTATACCATACTTATTTTACTAGTGTAAATTCTGCTGTCAGAAGGTAAACTGGAATAAGATGCACAAGTGTTATAAGACTTTTTTATGAATGGTTAAGGCCACATATTTTCAGTCTGTCTTCCATAACTGAAGCCAATATTCACAACAAATGTCATAGGTAGCACTGCAGTAAATTCATAATGTTAATGATTATCCTAAGGCTATGACTATTACAGGAAGGAGAACACTGTAATCTGCAAGCCAGAGTTTTTTATAGAGAATACTGAAAAAAAAAAAAAAAAGAAAAGAAAAGAAAATAGAACCAGAGAGAAACCAAGTTTAGTAGAGTGTTAATTATGTGGCAATATCCATTCTTCTCTTCTTTCTTAATAATAGAGTTTTAGATGGTCATGTGACCACCCACCTAAATGCTATATTTATCATTCTTCCCTGTTGCTAGGTGTAGGCATGTAAATAACTTTCAGCAAATCCGATATGTGTCATAGAATGGTTCCGATTCTACTTCATATTTGTAAGAGGATTAAATACTTCCTACTCCAATCCTTTTCCCCTTTCCTGGTAGAAAGATGACAGAAACTGGAATAGCATATTTGACCCAGAGAATGACAAGAATGCCAGAGTAGCCCAAATAGCCCTAAATACTTACCTTTCTACAGTCACTTACCTCTACTTTGTTGAAGCCATTGCATTTTGTAGTCTTCTTGTTAGAGTAATTCATCAAAATCCTCCCAGGTAACTCTCTAATATGTGAAAGTTGTAATGGCTGCTTATTAAGATTTCACAAGATGCCAAACATTCTCTTATACTAAAGTTATGTGTTGCTTAATGACTAAGGTACATTCTAAGAAATGTGTCCTCAGGAGATTTTGTCATTGTGCAAACATAGTGGAGCGTACTTATACAAACCTAGATGGAATAGCCTACTACACACCTGAGCCATATGGTATAGCCTATTGCTCCTAGGCTACAAACCTGCACAGCTGTAGATGTTACTAAAAGGAATACTGTAGACAATTACAATATAATGGTAAGCATTTGTGTAGCTAAACGTATTAAACATATTAATAGAAATGGTAATAGTGAAAATACAGTATTGCAATCTTGTGGGACCACTATTGTACATGCACTCCATCATTGGCTGAAGCATTGCTATGCGACACCTGACTATAGTTATATTCTTAAAATAACCCTCTAGGTTATTTATAGAGAGAACAATAAAACTAGGAGAAAGTAGCAGGCATAAATTCAAACACCTACTAGTTTGTAGGTGTGGAATGCAATTTGAACTCTAATCTCAGAGGTCCTAAAGCCCTTGTTTTTTCCATTATGTCTCAGAATCCTTTCAGGACAAGAAAAGTCAACCTTTCTGAAGTGGTAAGCACTTCGTCTGGAATATGTAAAATTGAAGCCGAGGCCATGGCTTACTCATCTTTGCAATATAAAATTCCTGAGACATTCAAGAAATGCTTTGTTGAAGATATGTTAACTTTTTTAAAAGAAATACTTTACGTTGCTTTAAGTTATTCAAGAGAAATAAATTGCATCTTCTCTGTCTTTGTTAGAAAAGTAGTTGAGTGACTTTGTGGGACATTTTAATAGCAACATTAAAAAACAATTCTACAAGATTTATCATATAAGAAATAAGAAAATAAAATTTGTGAAATATGGTCAAAATAATAAGCCTCTTCAGAATAGAAATTGGATCAGGAAGAAAGTCTTTTTCTTATAGGGCTTATTGTTGCTGTTGTTGTTTATTTAATAAAAAAAAAGTTTACTGATAATTTGTAACCATTAACAACTACTGAATTAAGGATGTAACACAATTATAAAGTACCTCAGAGGCATTTGCCCTTCAGAGAGCATCTGAAGGCAGAGTGAATTGTTATTCTGTGAGAGTCTATTTTAACACAGTCAGCTAAGGCAGCCACGTAAAAAGATCCAGTAGTTCATAAGCCAGGAAGCAACAGCAGCACATCCAGCCAGCCCTTTCAGAAGGGGTGTGACTTGTCAGTGACGAGATAGGTGTAGCACACTGAGTTATTTAGGAGCACTGGGCATAGTTAGGCTTCTAAGGGTCCACACCCCTTGGAGAAGGGGGAGATGAGAAAACCGAATTTGTCAAGTCATTGCTTGTGACCAATTGGTGACTTACTGATTACTGCCAGGACTCAGGAGAGCAATCCAGCAGCTGCTTCTATTCCCAAAGCACACGTCATGAAAGGACAGATTCTGTTGCAAAATGGACCGATTCCCAGAATACCTGTAAAACTCAGATAAGCCTAACTTTTTCCTTTTAGCCTGAGAACACAAAGTGGAGCAGATACAAGGTTGCTTTCTTTCTTCAATTTTACTTTATTTTATGTGTCTGTTTTATTTTTCTGGTAAAAGTATACGGGATCAAGGAAGCCACAGACTAAACCAAATAATGACTTAGAGAGGTGAAATTTCAAAATAAGTTATTGAAACCAGGCTTAATTGTCTCATTAAAATATTGCTTTAAGAAAAAAAAAGAATGCTATAAATTCTTACCATTGCGTTTCCTTCATAGTAATATAATTTACTTCTCAGCTAGTTGTTTTTCCTGTAAGTTACATATTCCATTTTCCATCTAAAAATGGCTTTTTCTCACATGAACCTGGTGTTATACTGGAAACTGAATTCACCAAAAACACTAAATGAAGTAATAGCAATTTTTAAAATATCATAAGAGATGTGTGTGGTTCCTTAAATTTTCAGCTGGTGTATTTACACAAATGCTGAGTTTCCAGCACTGTATGGCATTAGGCATCAGATTATTGCATCAGAATTCCTAATACATCCACCCCCAGACAAAAATACATACACCCACACTTATGTTCTCTTAGAATAGTGTCCTAGTCAGTTAAACTGTAAGTTCCAGCTCATGGGCAGGACCATATAATGTGGATGAGCACGTTCACTTTGAGTAAGGTGGATTTGTACCTCAAGAAATTTGCTCTTGGCCCACACAAGTATTACCCTATGTATGGTACCCTTTCAAGTATTTGTTTAAATAAGTGTATATTTAAATGTGTGCATTTATATAAACTCCCAAGAGAAAAAAGAAATCTTAGAAGCTGAAGCTTATCCATATTTTCAAAAGATTCTATAGACATCAACAAAAATCAGCAAATATTTATTGAGTGACTTCTTATGTGGTTAGTAAAGCAGGCATCATTTCTTTCCCTAGGGCTTAGAGTTTTAAAGACAGCTCTTAATCAATTGCTTAGTAGGACATAAATTACCAGAGTTCAAGAAGTGTCTGTTTTGTGTGCTGTATACACAGCAACCTAAAACAGTTCCTGACATGCAGTAAGCACTCTGTAAATTCTTTAAATCACTCCTAACTACATGAGATTTAAAAAATACTTCAGTTCAATACAACCAAGTCTGTGCGGTCAAGAAAGATTTCCCCACAGAAATACCATTAAAATTTAGATTTAGAAGTTACGAGGAAGTTAGTTAGGTGGAGAAAATTTATAGACTGCCCAAAAACAGAACATCAAGGGAAAGTTCCTAAGATGTTAGCAGGATGCTGTGCAAGAATTCTAACAGCAAGGGCAAAGAGGAACATATTGTGAGAAGATAAGTGGAGAATATATTAGGAAAAAAGTTTTTTAGGTCACCATAAATACAGAATATTTTATTCTAAAAACAATGGAAAGCTATTGATGTATTATAGACAGGGAAAAATGTTCCATTTATCAATTTATAATTTTGAGTTCTTGCAGTGGTTGAATGTGCCCCCAAAGTTCATATGTTGGAAATCTGATGCAATGGGATTGGGAGGTAGGGTCATGTAAGAGGCAATTAGGTCATGAGGGTTGTCCCTGTTAACTCAAGTGGCTTCATTATAAAAGCAAGAGTAGTGCCCCCCTCTTGCTCTCTTTCTCTTGAGTGCTCCCTTGTCATATGTTGCCTTCTGCCATGCTGTGGTTCTGCAAGAAGGCCCTCACCAGATATGGGCCCTTCAATCTTGAACTTCCTACTCTCAAGGACTATAAGGCATTTATTTTCTTTACAAATTACCCAGATTATGGTATTCTATTATAGCAAAACAAAATAATATAAGACAGTTCTCAAAACTGGTTTAATACTAGAAAAAATAATACTGACTCACAGATCCAGTCTTCCATAGCTAATTCTGTCGTCTGAGAGATGTCACTTAATTTTTTATTGTCTCAGTTATATCATTGATACATTTTTAAAGTTTTAATAGGTAAAAAGTTAATACCAATATTCTCTGGTCTAAAAGCCAATACCTCAGTAACGCTATAAGTGCTTCCTTACAAATCCTTTATTTAAGCTTTGGCCAGCATCAGATACCTTCTTATGGTGAGCAGGATAATCAGAAAGGAGGAAAGAATGCCTACATACTGATATTGGGACTGTGATTCAAGAGCAGAGCCTGAATCACAGAAGGAGAGGGAAGGCAGGCAGGCAGACAGTTTATTTGCTGGGAAAATCCCAGAAAGTAGAGGAAATGAGCCGAATGAAGAGTGAAGAAAATTCAAGGCCATTATTGAGCTGGTTACTACAGCAGACAACTGGGACTCAATTTTACTTACACCCCTCTAAAGATTTCTGTAGAATGTCCCTTAGAGTTATCCCTCCTGATTATACTAATGCAGACCAAATATCTACCAACATTTACTCTCATTAATTAAAGACTGAGTACTTTAACTTCCCACACTTTCAGGCTGCACCAATACGGGGGCTAAGGAGACTTTTCTTGCTTTGGAGATATCTTTGGAGCAGAAAAACAAAAAATTCTTAAATTGTGCCTGAAGGTTGTCATTGTGAGGAGTTAAAAGAACCACTGAAGATGTAAAGAGGGATCCTAGAGAACATGGAATAAGGAGTCATTATAGGGGTCTATGGTGATAAGTTATTGCCATATCTGTATTTCAGACTGAATAGTCTGGCTACAATGTGAAAGTGGATTCAAAAGTTCAGGGAATTAGGACTGAATACCATGCAGGTACATTTCCACTTCCTATAGGAAAAAGTTCACATGACTTAATAGACCAAGCAATGTTCTGTATATACTGGTCAGTTAAGGGTGTAAATTACTCTAAAAGTGTTACAAATAACAGGTTAATAAGATGATAGAATGAATAGAATATTAGAATAATTAAACATTCTGGAGGTAAAATTAATTCTATTTGAGGACTGAATAGAATATGAAAAAGGAAGAATTATCTAGAATGATTCTCAAGTCTCCAGCATGAGGGACCGGGTGTAAGTTAGCAACATTAATTAATATTGGAGGTATGAGTATACATAAAAGAAAGCATTTGTTGTTTTTGTTATAGTTATAATTTTGTGGGGATAAGAAGATCAGCTTTGAACATGCTGAGTTTGAAATACATGTGGGACATATATCAATATTATGTGTTGTTTACAGTACTATGAGTCTAAGTTTCTAGCTTGGCCCAGCAATAGAGATTTGGAAGTCATTCAAATACCATGATATTTTTTACTCAAGGCTTGTAAGAAAATGTTTGATTCCATGTCTTGGACATTTAATACATAGTATAAACCTGAAATATATTGTCAATTCAGAGAACAAAGAACTATCAAATTTCACTCTGGTTATGTCAAAAGGACTTAAGAACTAACTAGAAAAGGTACCAAGCCCCAAAAATGGGGCCTTTGTAGTATCAATTTTAAAAACTGTGATGGATTAAGCATATCAATATGTGTGTATTTCTGAGATCATAATGGGACAAAAAAAACTCGTCTATCATAATTGAAGATTGCAAGGGAATGACTCACTGTTTTCGAAAACTTGTAATTAAGGCTGGGCATGGTGGCTCACACCTGTAATCCCAGCACTTTGGGAGAATCACTTGAGCGGAATTTGAGACCAGCCTGGGCAACATAGTTGACCCATCTCTACAAAAGTTTTTTTTTTAAACATTAGCTGGGCATGGTGGTGCACTCCTGTGATCCCAGCGACTCAGGAGGCTTACATGGGAGGATCACATGAGTCCAGGAGGTCATGGCTGCAGTGAGCTGTATTCATGCCACTGCATATCAGCCTGGGCAACAGAACAATACCCTGTCCTTAAAATTAAAAAAAAAAAATAGAAACTAGTAATTAATGGGAAATAATAAAGCACTTAATCCTGCTTTTCCTATACAAATTATACCACTGAGTAACAAACAGTAGACAAGAAGTTCTTATTATATAAAAATCCAAGTAAAGGAATGAAAAACGAATGATAAAATTAAAGATTATAATTTTGTAACTCTAATAAACTAACAGAGCAAAGTAAAATCCAAGTGAGGAATGTATATTTTGGCTTATTTCCATAAGAGGCATACAAAGCCCTTAAACTTTAAAATGAAATATAATATATATTTTTTCTTTCTTAAAACCCTATTTAACTACCATTTGTGTTGAAACTCAGAGGGAACAGCCTTTGGCAAGAGATTGTAAAATAATCTTGCTTATTTTTAAAGTGTTAATTCCTATAAAAACAGAATGAAAAGATAGAATCTAAAAACAAAGTAAATCAACTGAGTTAAATAAAAATTGGCTAGTAGTAAATTAAACAGCTGAGTGTTGCACACATACACAAGTCCAAAATCAAATCCATTTCTATCCTGTTAATTGGCTTCAAGTCCATCTTTATTCTGTTACTGTCAAATAAAATCCTTTATAGTGGGAACTTGCTTGCTAAATCCTAAAGTTTCTTGAAATAATACAAGCCTCTAACTATATTTTCACTATTAGTCTAAGAATAAGAGTTGTTTCAGTAAAACTTAAGGTTGACTATTGATATGTGCCAGCCAACTATTTTGTAGCCAATTTCCAGCAAAACTGGTTGACAGAATGGCATATTTACAATAGCAGAGCATCCATGGATCACTTATGAACTGGAACAAGTTACTGTGGAAATGGCCTTTCATATGGTTAGTCAATAACCACTATATACTCATAATGCAAAACAGTGATATATTGTATACAGCAAAAAATCATGATATTTAGCTGCTTGACATTTTAAAGATATAATCGGGTTATTCATGTGACATTTCAAAAACAGAAATGGTTATCATAAAAAGTAAATTATCAGCTGGGAAAATGGGGAAATCGAAGAATGTTGGTACCCGCTAGAATATAGATAAAATGCTATATATGACACATGAATTGCTTCAACTGACATATCTATGAAAAAGAACAGTGTGGCTTCTATAGCAGGAGGAAAAAAAATGATCTACTATGGGGTAGCCTTATTTTCAGACTCCATTATTTTCTCTCTTCTTTCTGGAGATAAATGTTGATATCAATTGCTGTTGTATAACTACAGAAGAGTAAAGAAGAATGCTATATTTGAATGGCAGTAATCACCTAGTGAGATTACTGAGTCAGATTTATTATCTTGTTACTATGACCTGTGTTTGCCAACAATAGTTTGGAAATAAATATTAGGTCTGATTGCTCATTTTGTGTATTATATGGATTAGGGTATCTGAAATTTTCTATAATACTTGATAGAAATCATGGATTTCTAATTTATTCTGTCAAAGAAGAATTATAGATGCTCATCTTCAGCTGGAAGATATCCACAAGAGAACTATAAACTCTCAATTTAAAAGATATATTTCTCTTCTCCTTGTATTTATAGGTGTTATGACATCATAATGCTGGGAACCATCATATTTATATGTTTTCTGTAAAGAGATCACTTACAGTAAGACAATTATACTGACTGAAATATGGTCACTGAAACTAAGACAATGAGGAGATTCATATATGAATAATTATTTATATTGGGGGGACATTTCTTTGGGATATTAAATATTAGCATGAGTTAATTAATATAAGTACATAGAGAAATGTGTCTATGCAATACACAGTAATTGAAATGAAGAAGGATATCGGGAGGAGTATTTTCCTAATGACATGATCATATATGCTTACCTGAGAAATTATTTGACCTCCTATCTGTTCTTCTGACACTTTTACTCATGACAGTATCTTATAAAGTTGCATGAATGAATTGAATTGATGCTTATCAAATGTGGGTCTACTCCATTTTCCTTGCTTGCAAATATCTATAATTTGTAAAAAAGTTTGTTTTTTCATGCATGTAATAAGATTTATGCCATGCACTGCAATTTTGAATAATGCTGTGCATATTCAACAGGGCACAGTAGTTTTGAATTGCAGAAATGAATAAAAGTGAATAAAATAATAATCTACATTTGTAGGAAATCAGATTTTAATGAAATTGTCATTTATATTTATGCTAAATGCTATCTAAATCTAAAGAGACATGTTAGCATCAGTGTCTGAATACCCTAAAATTGTCTGAAACTTCATTTCCATGGAAATATTTTGTTTTGTTTCACAAGCTGTCTGATTTGTGTTCAAATGTTTATTACTTTATTTGAAAATACTTTCTTATTTTTGTTCCAGATGTTCAAAGAACAAGCACAGAACATGGTGGATAAATAAGAATATACAGCTGTAAGCATAAGCTGAGAGTTAGTTATATTCACTAACAAGTTGGTCTGAAAAGGTCTTCTGATGACTGAAAAGCAAACTTTTATTTTATTTTATTTTATTTTATTTTGTATATTTTTTTTGAGATGGAGTCTCGCTCTGTCGCCCAGGCTGGAGTGCAGTGGCGCAATCTCGGCTCATTGCAAGCTCTGCCTCCCGGGTTCACGCCATTCTCCTGCCTCAGCCTCCCGAGTAGCTGGGACTACAGGCGCCCGCCATCACGCCCGGCTAATTTTTTATATTTTTAGTAGAGACGCGGTTTCACCATTTTAGCCAGGATGATCTCGATCTGCTGACCTCGTGATCCGCTCGCCTCGGCCTCCCAAAGTGCTGGGATTACAGGCGTGAGCCACCATGCATGTCTCTAACAGCTTTCAATATCACATACTTGTTATGGAACACGTGACTTAAATTGTCTGATTTTTATACAATAAGCACAGCCTTTATATTTTTAATCCTAAGAGGTGATTTTGGTATTCATTACTTCCTATTTTAAGAAATTATGTTTTTGGAAAATATTATTAAGTTTTTAAATGGTAGTGTTTACAGAGTTGTGAAAAAGTCATTAAAATAGATAATCTTTCAAAGATGAGAAAATGTGATAAAAACTCCTGGTGAATAGCGAACAGCAAATTACTTTAATCACGTACAATATTTGGGTAGGAATTTTTGTATATTATATATGCCACATAACTTAATTGATCATGCTTTTATATTAATCTCCTTCCACATAGTGATAATTAGTCAAAGTAATTAGCATGTTCATCAAACTGATCAAACAACTGTTAACTTTTGTTGTTTTTCTTAATTCCCTTGTCTCTCAATGTAATTTTTATCAAAGATGATAATAATCTCTGAGTTCTTAGAATGCCATTGTGGAAACTTTCTCACAATGCTAAAGAGTGGTTACTTTTTCAAATATGAAATGTAAATAGAAACAATAAGTCCCTACTCAAAAGTTAACAGGAGAACCAACCAATTGTCTTTCAAAGTATTCACTTTTAAAGTTTATACATTTACCTTAATAATGCCATTGCTCAAGTAATTTCAGAACCTATTTTAGTAACTGTCTTCAAAACAAGGCTACTAAACTCATAAGAAAATAGGTAGTCTTTATGTAGTTATGATTCTCTTACCAGTTTCTCCTAATAGATCATCATGATTTTTAAATAACTCAAACTTTATACTAATTTGTAAAACATCAAGTATGGAAAGTTGTTCTTTCATAATCATATTACTGTGAGGAAGTGTGTGCACCAGGGCAGGTACATGAAATCAACCTTCAACAATTCCAGAGGTAGCTGATATTCTAAATGCTTCCTCAGCACACAATGTATGGAAGAATGCAAGTCTCAGTATTACTAAGTATAGCTTATATGATCCACAGACTCCCCAAAAAGCTTTAGGCTATAAGTAAGAATAGATATGTTCCAAATTCTATTCTAACCTAAAAATGTAAGAACAAATATACTTACTCCACTCTATTTCACAGGGCTATAACATATACATATATTTAATATTATATATTATATAAAATATGTTATTATAAAATATAATTTAATTATTAAATATAATTTTAATATATGATATATAAAATATACAAACGCATTATATATTAAGAATATCACATATAACATATATTAAACATATGTATATCATAGCCTGTAAATTAGAGTGAAATAATAAATATATATAAATATATCACAGCACTGTGTATATAGGTAATAGAAATATACTTGTATATATTATATATATAAAAGAAATCTATAGTAAAAATAAATATGCAAACTCATGTTGCTCCAGCCCCTTGTCACTGTCATATAATAGACAGGTTAACTTTTAAGGAAGAACTCCCATTTTCTATATCACGAGTTTTTTTTGTTTTTAGGTTTTTTATTTGTTTGTCTACCATCGAGTAACATAGCATTGTCATGTTGTACAGGCTTTTATCTCAAAATAAATAAAACAAAAATGCTGCTAAAATTTTTATCTAATTTGTAAATTATTTTAATTGTTGTACATTTCTTTAAAGATGAGATATCCTCTATTTTATTTACTAGATCAGGGAAATATTTTAGAATACTTTGACTTCCATGTAGTGTGTCTTCAAAATGGCTGTGTCAGCCATTAACATTTTCCTTGTGTTTTGCCCTTCAGAGGGAAGATCGTTTACATTTTAGGTATGATGATAGGAGTTGAAGTTGTGGGAGGAATGTAAACAATGATTTGTCCTGTTTCCCAAGGCAGGAATGCAATGTTTTTCCTTCTTTCTTTTTCCTTCTTCCTCCTCTTATTTTCTTCCCTCTCCTCCTCCAACTTTTCTTTTTATTCTTTTAAAGTTTTCAGATGAAGTAAACTTGCAAGCTTCAATATCAACTTCTGAAAGTTATATAAAAATAACTAAGAATAAACTATAACCTTAATCAACAAATCTTCCTTTGAGCTGAATATAGGTGTGGCTATGAAAGAAAATCTATTATAGGCTAGGGAATTAGAAAGGAGGTCTTATCTACATTAAATATGAATTTATGTAGAGGAAGGATATTTATTTCCCTCTTTTCAAAGAATAATTATTGCTATTGTTTTTGTTAGTATCCCAAAGAAAAGTTATTATTTTTAATATACGCACCTAGATCTCTGTCTCTCTCTACACACACACACACACACACACACACACACACATATTTACATATAGATATAAATCTGGAATGTATCTTTTTATACATACATTTGAAATATAAATCAATATCTCTATATATATCCATATATACTTATATATATGTTCATATTGTTATTATTTATAGATTTAAGAAAACTACTTTGTTAAATAGATTGTCAAGATTCTTTGAGTAGGATGAAACTTCAAATTGCCTATAAAGTAAATGGTAGATAATACGAAGGTAAACCTGTTTTTTCATTATTAGACCCTTAATGTCTAGGTGTTCTATTTAATTGTCTTTTTACTGAATTTGGTCTCTAATAGGCTTATTATGTAATAAGAAAACCTTTCAGACATATTTTGTTATTCCCAAGTTGTTATTTTATCTGAGAATCTCTTTTCTGGTTAAGAGACATGACCTGATTCATCTTTTGCTTAACTTTTTAAAGAGCAAAACTTGCAGAAACAATTCTTAAAAATATGATGGAGAGAACTGGGTTTCTGAGCGCAGCTTTTAATAATTGTGACGGTATACTTCTTAAGAGAGTTGCAGTTAACAATCCTACATGCTAAAGTATCTAGTCATTAGATAACTCTGACAACCTGAAATAAATTTCTCTTCAATATAATGACATTTCTCTCTATAGGCATATTATTAAATAAATGTCTGGACCCGGCGCGGTGGCTCACATCTGTAATCCCAGCACTGTGGGAGGCTGAGGTGGGCAGCTCATGAGGTCAGGAGTTCAAGACCAGCCTGGCCAACATGGTGAAACCCCGTCTCTACAAAAGATACAAAAAATTAGTTGGGCATGGTGGTGCACCCCTGCACTCCCAGCTACTCAGGAGTCTGAGACAGCAGAATCGCTTGAACTCAGGAGGAAGAGGTTGCAGTGAGCCGAGATCATGCCATCGCACTCCAGCAACAGGGCGAGACTCCATCTCAAAAAAAAAAAAAAAGAATAAATAAATAAATAAATAAATAAATAAAAATAAATAGTTTGTAATCATATACTTACATAGTAGGTGATAGTAAGTATATATTAATCTAATGTTTCAATTTCTTCTTACAAAAGTTTTCCTCTACCCAGATAACACAAATAAAAATATTTATTTACAATTTTCATATGCTTTAAATGGACAATTGTGTATAGCATCATACCTTTAATACACCAACAATTTTCAAGAAGAACCATATATTAATTGCTTTTGTTACCATATGTGTGTTTTACATAGCTCACTCACCTTTTAAAGATTTGAAGTAGCTTGAAGTAGATTTTTTTTCTTTGTTTTTTGAGACAATCTCACTCTGTTACCCAGACTGGAGTGCAGTGGCGCAATCTCAGCTCACTGCAATCTCTGCCTCCGGGGTTCAAGTGATTCTTGTGCCCCAGCCTCCCGAGTGGCTGGAATTACAAGTGCACACCACCATGCCCTAATTTTTGTATTTTTATTAAAGGTAGGGTTTTGCCATGTTGGCCAGGCTGGTCTCGAACTCCGGACCTCAGATGATTCGCCCACCTCGGCCTCCTAAAGTGCTAGGATTACAGGCATAACCGTGCCCCCCTGCCTAAAATAGCTTTAAAAAGTTACAATTCATTTCCTTTTTTTATGTATACTTCTCCTCCTCATACCCATGTTTATATGATTCATGACCATAATTGCATTGTTTAAAATTTGGGCCTCCCAACCATTTGGATAAGTCTTTAGGGGTAAAAATGTTGGTAATATTAAGAACAACGAGAACCTTTAAATAAAGAAGAAAGAGAAGGGGAAAAAGGAGGAAGGAGAGAAGGAGGAGGAGAAGGAATAAAGAAAGGAAGAAGGAGGATGTAGAAGGAAAAAAGGAAGGAAGAAAGGAATAAAGAAGGAAATCATTTCAGGCTTTAGTTGCTAGACCATTTTTGTTAGGTTTAGATGATGACATAACAATTGTTTTGATGCAGAGTCTACCAATGTTGTCAGAAAAAAAAATAATAAAATGATGTTATACCGTCCTCAAAAAAATATTGTTTTTATTTAAAAATATTTTACTACATCCTAAAGTATACTAAATTTACTACACTTTATGGTCTTCACTTTGTCGATATCCCAAGGTTAACATTTGTGAATGAAATGGATAGTGGCCACCTTGCTGTAGTGTGTGTTTTATAAATAGTAGCATAAACAAGAGGCATAATTTACATTACTCATTAGTAGTATGGAATCCTCACTCCACAGAGAGTCAATGTAATCAATCATTAGAAATACTAAATTGAAGATTGAGTATGCTCTCACAAAACAAATGCTAAATGCATGACAAGTCAGGTATGGGCAGAGTAAGTACTGCTGTAGTCCTTTCCAGACAGCGTCTTACCTTCCGGCTAATGGAACATTCCTTCCTCTGTGCACTCTGTTCAGGCATTTATGTGTAAGAGCCCTAGCATGTGTATTGTTTCAACTCATAGTGAATCTGCTTTCCCTAATGCTACTTTTTCACTAAGTCTGACAAACTAGTGCTGTTATGTGTATGTAGCTTGTGGGATCAACCATTTAAAATATTTATGGATGTAGGATTATTTATTTATTTATTTATAAACCTTCTAAAACACATTATAGAGCCACAACCATTATCTAGCATTAACTGTGTAACCTTTTAATTCTCAATTTTCCTAAAAAATACAAAATTTCAGAACTGTAAACCTTAGGGACTACCCTCAGGAAATAAGATATGTTTCAATTCTGTGGACCAAGGATGACACTCATTGCTTTTATTAGAGATCTCTAAGTTTATTTGCTTGTCTGAGGGCTAGCGCCTTAGTAAGACATATTATAACTAATTTCGTTACTATCTTGTAAGCGATAAATGGGAAAGGTAAGTCAGAGAAAAATAATTTGAGTGCAATTCATTTTAGATTTCTTATTTACTCTTAAGTACCTTCTTATGAAAATACCTATCATATTATATAAAAATTGTAAATGACTTTAGCTCTGTGTGGCTCAAGACACTAAAATAGGACCAAAGTTCTTACCACTATTAATTCTGATAAAAATATTCAGTACATTACCAAAATATCAAAATGTATATATACATATGCTAAGATTATATATATATATATGTCAAACCCATTTTCCTCATGGAAATTCTCTGATTTCAAATAGAATAACAAACAGAAGCTCATAACAATATAAGCTTCACTAACC
Organism: Homo sapiens; assembly: GCF_000001405.40. NCBI lineage: Eukaryota > Metazoa > Chordata > Mammalia > Primates > Hominidae > Homo > Homo sapiens. The sequence goes on along the minus strand of NC_000003.12, from coordinate 103,774,165 downwards.
AAATATTTAACAATATTTTAATAGAGAGGGGAAATAGCTAGAATGAGATGGCAAATAGTTTGCTGTACCTAAGCCTTGCAAGTAGACACAGTTTACACATATAACTGGCATCCAGTTATGCAAACTATCATACACCACTATAGTTGGCACACCCGAGGCTTATTTTTGCTTTGTTGATCCACATTATAAATTATAAATGTAATGAAAGGGTGAAACCCATATCCCATAAGTCATTAATTTTTAGCCATGTGACTAGAGGAGCGTTAGTGATCATAGTTGTTTTTTGGAAATGTGATGTATGAGAATGTTGTGGAACAATTTATCATTTAAGAAGATGCAGGATTTCTTTTGATTGGGGTAGGGGAAGGTGAAATTCGGTAATTATCATTAAATTATGAATCATTTATAAGAACTTGAATTTTAATGATTGCAGATCCCACATTCAGCATTCAGGTTGAAAATATTTTATTATTCAATTATTAAACATGTTATGCTGTATTGCATTCAAATTGAAAAATTATCCTGTGTAAACTATTATGCAAGTATATTAGTATGGTCTGTATGTGAGCATTTATGCTAGATTATACAGTTTGAGGATTTATTTTTTAAAATATAAAAATTAATAGAGAATGCTTCACATTATAAAAATTTCTGCTGATTATCCAGCATATGCAGTCCTTGTGAATATACCCACTTCATAAAGATAAAATTTAATCATAACCTTCATTATTTTTGTAACTAGAGGAAGCATTGCTTGTCATTTCAGATTCTTACACTTTAAAATGGGGACTCCTACATGAAGCGGATCGTATTACCAGATTGTAACAAAATTATGGAGATGTACTTTTAAGTCATGAAATATTTCATAACATTGACACAGTGATGACTTGGTCTTGAACTTGTACTTTGAAATGTGAGAATTTATTATCAGTTTACCCACGTAGTAGACAAAATAATGATCCCCGAAAGATATCCATGTTTTAATCCCAGAAATCTGTGATTGTGTTCCTTTTCGTGATGAAAGACCTTTACAGATATGATTAAGTTGACCATCTTGAGATAGGAAGGCTACTCTGGATTATCCAGATGGCCCCAAAGTGATCACAAGGGTCCTTAGAAAAGAGAGGTAGGAGGGTCAGAGTCAAACAAGGAGGTATGACAACAAAAGCAGAGGTTGGAAAATTATCATATCTGGAAGGAGACCATGCACCTAGGAATGAAAACAGCTTCTGGAAGGCTCTGGAAAAGGTAAATAATGGACCTTTCCTAGAGTCTCTAGAAGAAATGTAGCCCTGCTGATAGCTTAATTTTAGCCTACAAGACCCATTTCTGATCACCAGAAGTGAAAGAAAACAAATTGTGTTGTCGAAGCCATTAAGTTTGTGGTTATTTGTTATAGACATCAGCAATAGGAAATGAATACACACACACACACCCAGATACAATTGATAATTTGCTTTTCTTTCTTCTCATTTTAAAATTAAAGATCATTCTTATTAATTAAAAACATTTATAGTTTTAGATCACCCGGAACAAAAAGAAAATTACAAATGAGTCAGCAGTACAGTAACTCTGCACATGATGTTCAATGTCACACTTCCATGTTCTAATATGATTATGCATGGGAAAGAACACTTGCAGGCCTAACATTTTTCTGGGCTGTTATGCCTCTGTTTCCTTGACTATTGCACTTTTATAATTTTGTCTGTGTTTTCAATTAATTATAGGAATTCATAAAAAATAACATAAGCTCAGACAAATAACTAGTAATAATAACTTCTTTTCTCAATTTAAGTCATTGTTTGCCTTGGGCACTTGCTATTTTGAAGGGAAAAGAGCTTCAGGCTAAGAGTGACAAAACGATTATATTTCTTCCTTCATCTCTCAGCAGCTCTGTAAAAGTTGGCAAAGCCACGCACTTTATTCTTGTTAGCATTTGTGATGTAACTTTAGATTCACATGCAAGTATAAAAAATAACACAGAGTAGTTAGGTTAATCAACCATTGGCAATATCTTGCCAGGAAATTTACATTAGCACAGTCCATCAATCTTACTAAGATTTCACTAGTTTTACATATATTCATTTGTGTGTATGTGTGTATTTACTTCTGTGCAATTTTATCACATTTGTAAACTTCTATGACTGTCACCATAGTCAAGATACAGAAAAGTTCTGTGACAAGGATCCTTCTCGCTACCATTTAATAGCGTTGATATTTCCTCCACCCTTTTCTCGATCCCCATATTCCCCTGGCTATCACTATCTCTTCTCCATGTCTATATGTCTGTCATTTCATTAATGTTAAATAAATAGAATCATGTAGTATACAACCTTTTAAGATTATCGTTTTCACTCAGCATCACTTTGAACTTGTATCCTGCCAATTGAATCAGTTCAATTATTTCTAGAAATTACTTTGTAGATAGGTTGGAATTTTCTACATAAGCAAACATGCCATCTGTACATAAGATTTCTTCATTTCTTTTGTTATAATTTGTATGTGTTTTATTTCTTTTTCTTTTCTTATTGCATTGTCTAAAACTTCCAGTATTATGTAACATAAGGAAAGTGAGAGTAGACATCCTTGTCTTGTTTCCAATTTTAGTGAAAAAGCATTTAGTATTTTACCATTAAGCATGATGGTAGCTGTAGATACTATTTTGTAGATGCTATTCATTATCCCATCTATTCCTAATTTTTTGTGATTTTCTTCTATATTGAATATGTGTTGGATTTTGTCAAATGCTTTTTCTGCATCAATTTATAAGAATTCAGGATTGGTGCGATGGCTCATGCCTGTAATTCCAACACTTTGGAAGGAGGCCAAGGCAGGCAGATCAAGAGGCCAGGAGTTTCAAGACCAGCCTGACTAACATGGTGAAACCCCATCTCTACTAAAAAATATAAAAATTACCCAGGCATGGTGGCACGTGCCTATAATCTCAGCTACTTGAGAGGCTGTGGCATGAGAATTGCTTGAACCCAGGAGGTGGAGGTTGCAGTGAGCTGAGTTTACTCCTTACCTTGTTGATACATTAGATTACATTGATTTTCAAATGTTGAACCACTCCTGCATACCTAGAATAAATCCCAGTTAGTCATCTTATATAATTATTTTTATTCTTTGTTGCATTCAATTGTCTGGATATTATTGATGATTTTTTATATCTATGTTCATGAGATATATTAGTCTGTAGTTTTTTAAATTGTTTTTGTCTGGTTATGGTTTTACAACAACATTAGTCTCATAAAAAGATTTGGAAAATATTTCGTCTTCTGTTGTTTGGAAAAGTGTGTATAAAACTGGTTTAAATTATTCTTTAAATATTTATCTGAACTGTTTATGGAAACCATTTGAAATTTTGTAATTGTTTCTTTCAGGAGGTTTAAATTACAAATTAAATGTCTTCAATGGCTATAGAACTATTCTGGTTGTCTGTTTCATTTTGGGTGAATGTTAATCGTTTGTGGTTTTTGAGAAATTCATTTTTGTCTTATTTATGTGACAAAAGTTGTTTTTAATATTCTTTTATTATACTTTATTCTTTTTCAAAATCCATGGTGATATCCCTGTTTTATTACTGATGTTCGTGATCTGTGTCTCTTAAAAATTTGTCATTCTTATTTTATCAATCAATTTTATCAGTTATTGATTTTTTCCTGAAGACCAGCATTTTGTTTCATTGATTTTTTTCTATTGTTTTTAGTCATTTCATGGATGTTTTCTAAATAGATGATATATAATGTAATTAATTTCTGCTCTTATTTATATTATTTTATTCCTTTTGTTTGCTTTAGGTCTATTTTCTCTTCTAGTTTTTTAAGGTGAGAACTTACATTTTTGAATTTAGACTCTGCCTGTTTTAAGGGTAAATATATGTGTTCCCCTCTGCACTGCTATAGTTGTAGCTCATATATCTTGGCAGTATGTCACATGCATTGTATTCATTCCACTTAGGTCTCTATATTTTATTGTTTATTTTTAATCTTCCCCTATGACCTATTTGGAAGTATGTTGTTTAATTTTCAAGAGTTTGAAGATATTTTGTAGCCTTGCTCTTACTGATTTTTTCTTTTTATTCAGTTATTATCAGAGAAACCACTCTTCATGATTTCAATTATTTTAAATTTTATAAGATTGATTTTATGGCTTAGAATATTCTCAGTCTTAGCCACTATTCCATGAGGGCTTGAAAGACATGAATTGTGCAGTTGTTTAATGGAGTATTCTGTATCTGCCAACTTGTTGGCTGACTTTTTGTTCAACCATTTCCTTTTGAGCCTCAGTCTCACCAGGTACTTACTGATGATTTCTTCCTCTATAAAATGAAAAGAAATACTTTCTTGTCTTTGGAGGATTTTTGAGGACCACATGAAATAACATGTAAAAGTTTTTTGCTATTATTAAGGTACCAAACATACAGATGCCCAGTATAATTTATCTGCAATGAATGTTATAAAATCAAGACCTTTACCTTTGGGTGATTGAAGCTGAATATTATTAAATATTTTGGCACAGTTTTCAATAGAGATAGGACTGTAAAAAATAAGTGACATATGCTCAGCTTCAGATCACTCATAATGTAAAAACATGTATTGGTGCCTCATCTACTTCACATCTTTCATGAGTTCTACATACAAGCAAAACAGTCTTGCTCTCTATTCTGTATGAGCTTTAAATATAAGGATTCAGCAAATATTTTTGCAGTTCCCTTTTGTGACATTAAAAAATCAAATAACTCTTCAACAAATGCCTGTTAAGGCAAACCATTTCCACCTGAATTTTATACAGCATATTTGGATTTGGCTTACCTGTCTTCTCAAATTTCTCATATCCACATTTTTTTACTCTTTTTAAATATTTATTTGGAAATAGAATTACATTATTTAAACACAAAATGCTGTGTTATTAATACATCTCCAAATCAACCACCTTAATGAGAGACAATTCTTCTCAAACTATCTACAGAGAAGGACTGATATTTCATTTTTCTGTTTCTATTGCCAACAAATAGGTGTTCTTACTGCTTATGACTAGTAACTGCCACCATATTTAACTGACCATGAAAGTTTTACAACACCTAATTTGTTTCCAACCTGTTTAACAATATGTCAAATACCGTTATAACTTTACCTATACCTCTCTAGTGTCCACTGGTAATAAACAATTAGCAAATAGTCATTGCAAAGACATAGTCCCCACGGAACATTTTATTTAACCTAACAAATTTCTTTCAGGCCAGGTGGCAAAAGCAGTAGATAAAAGATGTGATGAGATTAAAACATGTGCACATGCTAAACCTAAGAATCTTTCCAAACAGCATGGAGTTATTTCACAGACATGTCAATGTTCATATGTAGATAATCACTAGCACCCCCAAAAGGATTTTCAATTATTTTCTAGAGATCAGAGCTGTATCAGAGTTGGTAGTTCACCAGGCATTTTGGTATAAATATAGATTGGATTTGGGAAGCCTCAATATCATGGTAGGATTGTGGAATAGAAGATATAAAACAAATTTCAATGATTGTAGAATAAATAGGTATCTTGGGAATTATATGAGGAAAAAAAATCCCAGGTGTGAAGATATTGAAAACATGAATCGATGAGGCATATCCTAAATCTCTTACATAAACAAAAAGGGACCTAGTCAATTTCCACCAAGAAAGTTGTCAGAAACTACCTTAAAGATATCCAGAGGTGTCAGGTGTCCCACCCAGCAAGTCAGCAGAGCTCAGCCACCAGTGACTGCCTCAGTGGTATTCAGCTGTGTATTTCACAGAGGTGTCCAATTCATGTAAGTCAAAATAAACACACTGAGATAGATTAAATCTATTACTGCTCTTTGCGACTCCCAGGCTTTCTGCTAGGCTTTATATTTATAAACATAAAACAGGGTTTATATTTCAAAAAATTTTACCGTTTCACTTCTTTCTAATTTTCTTATGATAGAAACTTACCTGGAATTATCTTTTCGTCTTTTTCTAGTATAAAAACTATATAGGTAAAGAGAAACTGCTACTATAATTTAGACAGTGTCTAGATACCCACTGTCTTTTGTTTCTTTGTTTGTTTTGTTTAAGTGGCTGTTTTGACTTTGGGATCTCCCTCAATGGAAAGGTCCATTTTCCTAACGGGCTCCATCCTGTGTTCCTGGAGCGAACTCCCAGTGTAATCAGAAAACACAGTTAGAAACAGAACAAAGCAAAAATCCCCAACAACTTTAAAGGATTGGTTTTTGTTATCCCCCAGAGCCTGAAAATGGCCTTTGATGTCTACTTCTTATCCTGGACACATGGCATGTCACGTGGCCACGCGCAAAGGTGCGCCCTCCATGTTAACACCTGCTGCGGGTGGGCTCTGTGTTTTGTTATTCTCTGGTCAGCATGTGCAAGAGGTCTCTTCTGCATTATTTGATTCTTTTTTCACATCCTGCGCAAGTCGGCAGCTTTCTCGGGCATGTGACGTGATCCTTTTCATGAATACAGCATGTTTTCCTGGCGCTGCCTTGTGTGAATCATGCTCTTCAACTGAATCAAAAGATTCAATGGGACAGGGGTCTTGATTTGCACTCTGTACCTGCATCTCCAGCATCACGGAAGGCTCACAGCAGGAGCTCAATGAGTATTTGTTGATTAATGGGACTTAAGCCATGAAAGACAGCCCTCTTTGGGGAGCTCAGTCCCTTAAGTGGGTCAATTAGCTTGTCTGCTCCCCTCATGACTGATGAAATATTGTGAATTACCCATGTCTACAATCAGCAGATTCAGGTACTCATCATTGTGAACAGCTTTCCACTATTTCAACAACCAAAAATAGCTGTACAGTAAACTCTCATTATGCAGAATGATGGTGAGATGGGACATTCTAATTAATTAATCATTCTGGTCAGTGAGAAAAGAACATATATATGCAGAAGGCCAGCTTTAACAAAATGAGAATAGGGTAAAATACACTTATGATAAAATTAGGCCAAACATGATGTAATTGCACCATTCAAAAATGACCTGAAAGACTCATCTTAGACCCTGTGCGGTATGTGTAGGGCATCAATTTGGAGAGAAAAATTCAAGTTCTATAGACACATCAAGTTTAAGATACAGGCTTACATCTTTCCTGACCCCTAAAATATCCATGAAATCCCCTTTTTAAAATGTTATACTATCATCATCATCATTTTAAAAAAAAATTTCATAGGTTTTGGGGAAACAGGTGGCGTTTTGTTTCATGAATAAGTTCTTTCGTGGTGAGTTCTGAAATTTTTGTGCACCCATCACCCAAGCAGTATACACTGTACCCAATTTACAGTCCTTCACCCTCCTCCCACCCTTTCCTCCAAGTCTCCAAAGTCCATTGTATCATTCTTTTTTTATTTATTATTATACTTTAAGTTCTAGGGTACATGTGCACAACGTGCAGGTTTGTTACATAGGTATACATGTGCCATGTTGGTTTGCTGCATGCATTAATCGTTATTTACATTAGGTATTTCTCCTAATGCTATCCCTCCCCCATCCCCCCACCCCACGACACCTTGCATCATCATAGCTTAGCTCCCACTTATGAGTGAGAACACAGGATATTTGCTTTTCAATTCCTGAGTTACTTCACTTGGAATAATGGTCTCCAATGCCATCTACATTGCTGTGAATGCCATCATTTCATTTCTTTTTATGGCTGAGTAATATTCCACAGTGCATATATATATACACACATATATACACACATATATATATGTTTATATATACATTGTGATATATATATACATACACATATTGTGATATATATATATATATATACACACACATATCACAATTTCCTTTATCATTCATTGATTAATGGGCACTTGGGCTGGTTCCAGATTTTTGCAACTGCAAATTGTGCTGCTATAAACATGCTTGTGCAAGTATCTTTTTTGCATAATGACTTACTTTTCTCTGGGTAGATACCCAGTGGTGGGGTTGCTGGATCGAATGGTAGTTCTATTTTTAGTTCTTTAAGAAATCTCCACACTGTTTTCCATAGTGGTTGAACTAGTTTATGTTCCCACCAGCAGTGTAAAAGTGTTTACATCCCTGCCAAAATCTATTATTTTTTAAATTTTTGATTATGGCCATTCTCGCAGGGGTTAGGCGGTATCACATGGTGGTTTTTATTTGTATTTCCCTGATCATTAGTGATGTTGATCATTTTTTAATGTGTTTGTTGGCCACTTGTATGTCTTCTTTTGGGAATTGTCTATTCACGTCCTTAGCCCATTGTCTTTTCTAGTAACCATCTCAGAATAGGTCCAGGAGTAGAAATGAGTCTGACATACTCCTCAATTATGATGCCTAATGCACATACACATGTTGATACAGCTAGGGTATTGGGGTAGAACACGGGGGCTTGTCAAAACACTGCTTATTCCCCCAAAAGAGGGCAAAATGCTATAGCAGAAAACAAAGCTGTTTAATACAGAGAGACAGTGGGCATAATCCGAAAATATCTGATTCTATTTCTTGGAGGTTTTGATAATATTTCATTTAGTGAAGTTATATTAATGAATTTTTTTGAGGCATTCCTCACTTCTCAAATTAGGTATATTTAAAAGTGTATTGTGTATTTAAATCTAGGGCTTGTTTTATTCACAAAGTTGCTTTGAGGTGAACCAAAAATTTATCTTAGCCAATTAATTCACCAGAATCTAATCAATCATAACTTTATGCCTTAACGTTATCTAAATAAACACAATGGGTGTTTACATTGTCTAAATCATAATAGTAGTTTCTCATTACCTCTTTAGTTTTTATACTAGAAAAAAAGAGACAAAAGGATAATTCCAGTTAAGTTTCTATGCCTAAGTCAAGAAATTTTTAAGTAGTAGAAACTACATAGGAGCTTCATTCTTTTAATTTCACTTTTTCTACATTTTATCACAACTTTGTTATTTGGACTTACCAATTTTCCATCTTCTCACTGTGAGACTTAATGACGTAATGCACACACATAAATATACATATTATATAGTTGTAAAACTAATTTTTATGCTTCTATTATCATTTTGTTATATCCCTTAGTATACAATCTTAATGTTTTACAGTAAAATGAAGATAAAAAATGCAAGAATATAGAAATTTTAGTATCCTTTCTTCAGGTGAAAAAATTTTCATATATATTTATATATTGATTTCTTTCTAACTCCACTAATAGATTTTTAAGCTTGATATAACGTTTCCTTAGTTATTTTCACATATTTCATATTTTAAATATTTTTCCCCTTTTATAGTTGATGCTTTTGATAAGCAGCTTCCATTTATTGATTAGTGAGTGAGTGAACTCTCTCATTAATATGTAAAGGCACTTTCTTAATTATGTTACCCTCTATACACAGTATGCTAAAGATATTTCTGATTCATCTGTCTCTATTATGTACCAAATTTAAAACAATCCCTGACTCCCTCAAACATGACATGTATTAATTTTCTGTCCAAATTGTAAACTCTGGTAGAGATATTAATGTCAAATCACCTAGGAAATGATATTAAATTCTTTTATTTTTATTTTTTGAGACGGAGTCTTGCTCTGTCGCCCAGGCTGGAGTGCAGTGGTGCGATCTCGGCTCACTGCAAGCTCCGCCTCCCGGGTTCACGCCATTCTCCTGCCTCAGGCTCCCGAATAGCTGGGACTACAGGCGCCCGCCACCACGCCCGGCTAATTTTTTGTATTTTTAGTAGAGACGGGGTTTCACCGTGTTAGCCAGGATGGTCTGGATCTCCTGACCTCGTGATCCACCCGCCTCGGCCTCCCAAAGTGCTGGGATTGATATTAAATTCTATTTCTGAAGGCAATATCTATAGAACTGTGTAACATAAGAGAAGGGATTATTTTTAAAGTTTTGGTGGAGAGAAGAGAGCACTTCTTCAGTCTCAGAAAGCATTTAAAATAGGGTTCATTTTAATGACAAACAAAAAATAAGCAAGTGCTCAAACGTACTGGAATGTTTAACAGAATAGGAGTAATAGAAAATAGCATTTGTTTCAGATTATCTATTTTAGCTCAACCAGTATAAAATATTAATTCTTAAGAGGACTTTAAAAATGATTATTACTTTCTAAACAGTTAATCATCTCTACATGATACTGGTTTAGTAACAGATATACAATCTCAACCTTATTTGAATCATTGAGATAGTAGAATTAATTACAAAAAAATTAAAATACAAGGAATCAAGAAATACGAGTTTCTTACACTCTCTCTCTCTCCATATATATATACATATGTATCATCTCACATTTGGAGATGATAAATGTAATCTCAGTTTTGTTTGATTTTATTTTTGAAGTAATTAGTAAATTTGGCCATGTACATTTAGGAAAAGCACACGTCGCAATATTTGTCTTTTTCTCTCAGTATCTTCTTGAATTTATTTATACACAGTTCTAATTTGGTCATTTAGTGACTGATTGACTTTGTCTTTATAAGTATCGGCAAAATCTTTTGGCCTCTTTGTTCAAATTTTTATTATCTGTAGTCTGAGCAATGTGCTTTCAACCTCTCTATCTTCCATTCCAATATGTGTACTTCGCCCTGGGTTATCTTCTTAAACATGAAGCTAATTGTGTCACTGCATGCTTGTAAAATATTCAGAGCTCCTTGTTGCCTACACATAATATTCAAACTCTGGCTTTTTCATTAGCTTGTCCCATATCACCTGTGGAGCCTATTCTCCTCTTACTTCACAAGTGCCACTTTAGTTCCAGCAATTCAAAACTGGAGTAGCCATCAAATGCCTCCCTCTGTCACCCCACCACACATGCTATTTGGTTTATATGGAATCTATGTTCCTTCTGAACTGGCTGCAGAACTCCTAATCATGGTACCTTTTAAATATTCCTTTCTCTATGAAGCTTTTTCCAAGTGATCTTTAATCTTCCGATGCTCTTTACTTTTCCTGCTCCTTATTGTAGCTTCTATATCATATTTTAATTGTGTATTCAAATAATTTCTTCTACTTGAACAACTGAGCCATGAGCCCTTTTAACTCACTTATACGATTTTCATTATTTTTAACTTTGCAACGTTGGTAAGAAAAGGAACAAAAGGCAGCAGAAGAACTGAAAATCAAAAAATTCTGAATAATCGGATTAATACAAAGAATAGGAGCATCTTCTTGTAAAAGTAAATTGGAGCTTTTGGAGAAAGAAGCACCATCTAACCTGATTCACATTCTCTCATTTATTCACTTCATTCCACCTCATTTGTTCATTTATTCAACAATACTCTTTGCCAGTCACAAGAAAATAGGTGTTGACAGAATAGAAGAAACATGTTACTGTTCCCTAACGAGAGCATTATGATTATTGACATTTTATCAATAGGATTTGGTTATTACCAGGACAAGGACCTGTAATTGGACAGTATTTATTTCATTTCTTATGTGGGAGTTTAGCAATATATTGTATTATACATCTAAACAACCATATAAAGCAATGCAATATAAAGCAATGTCCTACCAAAACTTATTAAACATCCAGGGACCACAGAAATCTAAAGGCAATTAGCGTGTTCTAAAAGTGTGAGGGATATATAAATTATAGTAAGGCACTGTTCACAATTGCAAAACTACTTTGCAATCTAGATGAAGTGGTAAAGAGAAAAACTTAAAGCATGAAACTAGAGCAAAATTAGATCAATGTGTGGAATACACTGTGGTCATACACATGTCTTTACAAGTATTGACAAAACCTTTTGAAAATATAGATATGTCCATAATATGGAGAATAAACTTCAGAAACACAAGTCTGAAGAGAAGAAAGCTCCTCATGTTTGCTGAACATAATTAGTGTTTTGATTTGTATGGGAGTAAATGTCAAGCCAAGCTTTGAAGTCTTGTTCATGGATCAAAAGACTTTGGGATCCATGTGGTATTTTTACCTCCTTTCTGGTTAATGTTTGTAGAAAGGAAAATGCCATAAATAGTGCATTAGATAGTATCATAAATAATATTGAATATATTCTGATATCAAAAAATTGAGATTCTGGCAAAACATGAATTGTGTAGTGTGAAGATAAGAAACACATACTTGAGGGGAAAAGTGAGATGTACTCAGTTCAAGAAATTTTAATAAATACCACAAATACATGGCTGGAGAAGAAACGCAATAATTCTAAGTAGAAAATAGCAGAAAAGAGGGACTAGGATTGGTAAAAAATGCATATTTTAAAATAAGAAGGTGAGTAGAATTTTTATAGATATCACCAAAATTTAGGGTAATAGTGTTCAATAATGAAGTATGACAAAGAAAAACATCTTGTTCAAAGAAATTAATCTGTTTGAGCCATATGCTTACATATGACATGCTTAGTATAAATGCATTGTAGAAAGCATTATATTAGTGTAAATTTAAGATTTAGCACAATTATTATGAGAGTACTATAGCCCGTAATTTGAGATAATATTTCAGATTTGATTTTAGAAGACATTATAGAAAAATCGAGGAAGGAAAGCCAACAGAACTTCATGCTTTTAATATGAAAAAATTAGTCACTTAAGTAGGAAAACACAAGAGATTTCATAAAAGATTTTAAGAAATTGTGATAATGGAAACAAAGAACTGGTAGTTTATTTTGTTTGTGGCTCAAGCAGTTAACATGTATTTTGTCAGAATCCAAGATTAAATAGTGGCTCTGGTCTATTGATAGTATATCTAATCAGTTAACCTTATCTTGCTTTGAAAATATGCTAAAAGTTAGTCACATTGGTAGAAAAAATGTTTTGAATGACCACGTTTTTACTTTGGGCCATGGTTTGCATAGTGATGAATAGAAATAAGGTGACATGCAACTATTTGGATCCAAGAAAAATAAATCTGAGTTAAAAAGAAAACAGAATACAGAAAATGGATTATGTATAAATAAAAAGTTATTCACACCATTGGTCAAAAATAATTAAATTAGAAGAGAAAATATTATTTGGGAGGGCTTACATTTTCCTATTAGGCCATTTAAAGGAATGTCCTATTTTTGTTTTTCTTTCTTTCGAGATGGAGTTTCCCTCTTTTTGCCTAGGCTGGAGTACAATGGCGCGATCTCGGCTCACCGCAAACTCCGCCTTCTGGGTTCAAGCTATTCTCCTGCCTCAGCCTCCTGAGTAGCTGGAATTACAGGCACCCACCACCACACCCAGCTATTTTTGTTTTGTTTTGTATTTTTAATAGAGAGAGGGTTTCACCATGTTGGCCAGGCTGGTCTCGAACTCCTGAGCTCAGGTGATCCACTCGCCTTGGCCTCCCAGGGTGCTGGGATTACAGGCATGAGCCACCGCGCCTGGCCCGAAGAGTCACTTATTTTTATCAACTGTTGTTTACTCTCTGTTTATCTCCTTAAAGTATAAATTATTTCTCAAAAACGGTCTTTCTCAAAGTTTATGAATGTAAGCCACCCTGGTGTATCAGCCATTTGAAAATTAGCACACATTTTATTTTTCTCTCCTGGTTTTTTAAGTAGAAATTCAATAAAGACTTAAATTAAAAAATCTAAAGGAAAACAGAAAAGAGGATTTAATAACATTAACTATGTATACTCAAGGAGATGAAAAATCCTGAATTCAGAGGGAAATTACAAGAAATGTAAATTTGTCACAGAGCCTCAAATGATGAGTCAACTGTGGGAAAATATGATTAAAATTGATAATGAAATTAGAGAATACTTTAAATTATATATACAAAGCAAGTTAGTGTAGTATGAAAATCTAAAACACAGATACATATGGAGGGGGAAGAACATAAAATATAACATTTAGAATTATTTTTAAAATTTATATTAAAAATCAGCTTTTTTCCCCTTGTTTCCCATTAAGTACAATCCTATTACCTTATTTCTCACTGGAAAAAATTATAACAATGAATTGGAAGTTATCTATTTAATCTATGCTGAATATATTTTTTCTATGAATATGTATATATATAAAATTTTTTAAATATTATCAGCATTTTAAAATGTGTATAATGGAAAAAATTATATGTCTTATTCTTCAATTTGCTTTTCTGACTCAATATTTGAGATTTAGAAAATGTATCCTCTATGATACATAAAAATATAATCTGTTTAAACATAGTGTATTCATTTTCACTATATTGCAATATGTACCATTGGGTGATTTTGACAAAAGATCAAACTAGCTACATTTCTTTAAGCCAAAGTATATGTGAATATATACTAGTTTTATATTATAATATTTATTCTGACATTAAAACACATATACCTGTTTCCTTAGTGCACGTAAAAATGTCTTCCTAGACGCATAATAGCTGAGTAAGTATACTTTAATTTTTTTCTAAATTTTGCAAAACTGTTCACCAAAGCAATTCTAATAACTTACAATAATACTGGAAGTGTATGTAAGGTGCAGTTTCGCCTAATCTTTCTCTTTTTTAATTTTTTTTTTTTTTTTTTTTTGCTTTAAGTTCCAGGATACATGTGCAGAATGTGCAGGTTTGTTACATAGGTATACATGTTCCATAGTGGTTTGCTGCACCTATCAACCCATCATCTAGGTTTTAAGCCCCGTATGCACTAAGTATTTGTCCTAATGCTCTCCCACCCCTTGCCCCCCACCTACCAACAAGACCCAATGTGTGATATTCTCCTCCCTGTGTCCATGTGTTCCCACTGTTCAACTCCCACTTATGAGTGAGAACATGCAGTGTTTGGTTTTCTGTTCCTGTGTTTGTTTACTGAGAATGATGGCTTCCAGATTCATCCATGTTCCTGCAAAGGACATGATCTCATTCTTTTTTATGGCTGCATAATATTCCATAGTGTATATGTGCCACATTTTCTTATCCTGTCTATCATTGAAGGGCATTTGGGTTTGTTTCAAGTCTCTGCTATTGTAAATAGTGCTGCAATAAACATACATGTGCATGTGTATTTATAGTAGAATGATTTATAATCCTTTGTGTATATACCCAGTAATGGGATTGTTGGGTCAAATAATATTTCTGGTTCTAGATTCTTGAGGAATTGCTATACTGTTTTCCACAATGGTTGAACTAATTTACATTCCCACCAACAGTTTAGAAGCATTCCTATTTCTCCACAGCTTCGTCAGAGTCTATTGTTTCCTGACTTAATAATGGTAATTCTGACTGACATAAGATGGTATCTCATTGTGGTTTTGATCTGCATTTCTCTAATGATCAGTGATGGTGAACTTTTTTTCATATGTTTGTTGGACTCACAAATGTCTTCTTTTGAGAAGGGCCTGTTCATATCCTTGGACACTTTTTGATGGGGTTGTTTGTTTTTTTCTTGTAAATTTGATTAAGTTCTTTGTAGATTCGGGATATTCAACCTTTGTCAGATGAGTAGATTGCAAACATTTTCTCCCATTCTGTAGGTTGCCTGTTCACTCTGAGGCTAGTATCTTTTGCTCCTTTAATCTTTCTAAACAAGTGCAATAAGAAATTTAATTTTTCTCTATCTTCTTGGATGTAAAAAAAGACTCCTTTTAATTTGCATTCACTTCATTATTTATCAGGTGGAACATATTTTCATATAAATTTTGGTCAAAAATTTGTCCACTTTAGTGAAATACTTGTTTGCTTTTTTCTTCTTGATTTGTAGAAGCTGTTCACATATCTGGATTCTACTATTTTCTCTGTTTTATACCATATAAATACCTTCTTCTAAGGTACTATTTGTCCTTTAATAGTGTTTATACAGGTTTTTAAATTTTTGATGTTAATTGTGGCTTATATTTCGAGGTAGTGTGACTCAGAAATTATTTTTCAATCATGTCTAATACATACTTATTCTGATATTCCAAAAATATTCTACTAGATATTTATGTTACTGATTATTCCTCCTTCTTTAATATGTTCAGTGTTTAATACAAACACATACTAATTATGTATGTGACATGAAGTAAATCTGGCTCAATGTCATATATTGATTAATCTGCCTTTTTCCTAATGACTTGCATTGCCATTTTTATCGTATACCAAGATCCTAGAAATGTTTCTGTCTCTCAACAATCTATTCTCTTCCATTGAACTATATGTCTATATCTCTGTTAGTAAACACAGATATTTTAATTCGTATACAGGCTCACCTAGTTTTATTATAATTTGCTTTATTGTACTTCACAAATATATATTTTTTCAGAAATTGAACGTTTGTTGCAAACCTGTATCAACCAAGTCTATCAGCACAATTTTCCAACAGCACGTGCTCACTTCATGTCTCTGTGTCACATTTTAGTAATTCTTGCAATATTTCCAACTTTATTATTACTATTATTATTATTATTATTATTATTATTATATCTGTTATGGTAAACTGAGATCAGAGATCTTTGATGTTACTATTATAATTGTTTTGGGGCTCCACAAACAACACCCACATAAGATAGCTCACTTAATCTATAAATATGTGTTCTGAATGCTCCAGCTGTCACCCCATCTCTCCCGCTCTCCTAAGGCCTTCCTATTCCCCGAGACACTACAATATTAAAATTAAGCTAAGTAATTACCCTGCAATGGTCTCTACATTTTCAAGTAAAAGAAGAGGTTGCACGTCTCTCACTTTAAATCAAAAGCTAGAAATGATTAACTTTAGTGATGAAAGCATGTCAAAAACTGAGAGAGGCCAAAAGCTAGGCCTCTTGTATCAAGTAGTTGGCCTAGTTGTGAAGGAAAAATATATATATATATATATATATATATATATATATATATATATATATATATATAGAGAGAGAGAGAGAGAGAGAGAGAGAGAGAGAGAGAGAGAGAGAAAGAGAAAGAGAGAGAGAGAGAGACGGAGTCTCACCCTGTCACCCAGGCTGGAGTGCAATGGTGGGATCTTGGCTCACTGCAAGCCCCGACTCCTGGGTTCAAATGATTCTCCTGCCTCAGCCTCCTGAGTAGCTGGGATTACAGGTGCCTGCTACCACACCCAGCTAATTTTTGTATTTTAAGTAGAGACGGGGTTTCACCACTTGGCCAGGCTGGTGTCAAACTCTAGACCTTGTGATCTGCCTGCCTCGGCCTCCCAAAATGCTGGGATTACAGACGTGAACCACTGCACCCGGCCCAAAAAACAAATATTCTTGAAGGAAGTGAAAAATGCCAGTCCAGTGAAGACACGCATTATAAGAAAGGAAAACAGACTTATTGCTGATATGGAGAAAGTCTGAGTGGTTTGAATAGAAGATCTAACCAGCCACAACATTTCCTTAAGCCAAAGCCTAATCAGAGCAAGACCCTAACTCTTTTCAGTCCTGTGGAGGTTGAGAAAGGTGAGAAAGCTACAGAAGAAAAGTCCGAAGCTATCAGAGTTTGGTTTATCAGGTATAAGGGAAGAAGCCATATTCATAGCATAAAAGGGCAGTGTTAGGGACCAAGTGCTGATGTAGAGGCTGCTGAAGTAGTACAGTTACCGAAGATGACTACACTGAACAACAGGTTTTTCAATGTAGATGAAACAGTCTTCTATTGAAAGAAGATGCCATCTAGGACTTTCATAGCCATGGAGAAGAAGTCAATACCTGGCTTCAAAGCTTCAAATAATGACTGACTTTCTTGTTATGGGCTAATGCAACTGATGTCTTTTAAGTTGAAGCCAATGCTCATTTACCATTCTGAAAATTCTAGGGCCCTTAACTATTATGCTAAATCTGCTCTGTCTGTTCTCTAGAAATGGTACAACAAAGCCTAGATGACAGCACATTTATTTCCAACATGTTTTAATCAATATTTTAAGCCTGTTGTTGGGAAATACTGCTCAGAAAAAAAAAATCCTTTCAAAATATTACTGTTCATTGAGAATGCACCTAGTCACTCAATGTACAATGAGATTAATATTGTTTTCATGCCTAGTAGCACAATTTTTTTTTCTACACTCTCTCGATCAAGGAATATAACTTCCAAATCTTGTTATTAAAGAAATACATTACACACAGCTATGGCTGCCGTACAGTGATTCCTGTGATGGATTTGGGCAAAATAAATGGAAAACTTTTTGGAAATAATTCACCATTCAAGATGCTGTGAAGGATAGGAGGTCAAAATGTCAACATTGAAAGGAATTTAGAAGTTGATTCCAACCCTCACAGATGACTCTGAGGGGTTCAAGACTGTAGTGGAAGAAGTAACTCCAGAGGGGGTGGAAATAGCAACAGACCTAGATTTAGAAGTGGAGCCTGAGGATATGACTGAATTGCTACAATCTAAAACTTCAACAATGAGGAGCTGCTTCTCATGGATGAATAAAGAAAGTGGTTTCTTGAAACAAAATCTACTCGTGATGAAGATGTGAACATTATTGAAATGACAGAACAAATTTAGAATATTACACAAACTTAGTTGATAAAGCAGCAGCAGAGTTTGAGAGGACTGACTTCAATTTCAAACAAAGTTCTGTTTTATGTAAAATGCTATCCAATAGCATGCCATGTTCTAGAGAAATCTTTTATGAAAAGAAGAGTCAATCAGCGTGGCATACTTCATTGTTGTCTTACCTTAAGAAATTGCCAAAGCCACCCCAGCCTTCAGCAACCACCACTCTGATTAGTCAGCAGTCATCAACTAGGTAAGACCCTCCACTAACAAAGGGATTACAACTCACTGAAGTCTCAGATAATTGTTAGCCTTTTTAATCAATAAAGTATTTTTAAGTTAAGATCTGTACATTTTTAGACATAATACTATTGCACACTTATTAGACTACAGTATAATATAAACGAGTTCTATATGCACTAGGAAGCAAAAAAAAATTACGTGACTCCCTTTTTTGCAATATCTTTATTGTAACAGTGGAGAACTGAACCCACAAAACATCTGTGGTATCAATCCTTGTCACATATGGCAGGAACAATTTGCCTGTCTTGCTCTTGTGTTTCAAAATCATTATTTTGTACTCCCATGTGAATTTAAAATAATTATTTTGCTTTCATTGAAAACTACTAATAATTATAGTTAAAATTGCATTGGTTTTATCAATGGCTTTATGAATCCATCACATTTATGGATTTATGTTCCTTCTTATTTGCAAGAATCTAGAATTTCAGACTAGGTTCTCTTTTATGTACAATATTTTTAAACTTTTGCTATTAGTTCTTACACATTTCTTCAATTTACTCCAAGAAACTCTGCAAGTTTTTGGTTCCGGCTATTATAAATTATATCATTTAAAATATTTCACTTTCTGTGGTATATTTAGATGAATGATACTAATTTTTGTCCATTAAAGTTATATTTAGCAATCTTGCTGAATGTTTTAATACTACAAGTAGATTCTCTCTAAATTCTTGAGAAGGCAATGTGAGAAATAATTTCACTCATTAGAAAATCACCGTTGTTTGCAATAAGATAATTTTGTTGTTTTTTCTTCCAATTTATATATTCCCCATTTCTTTTCATAAACACTTTTTATTGTCATAGCATCTGATTTTTGAATAATAGTGAAATAAGGAAGTTTCCTGGTTTGTTCCTGGTGTTATTGACACTGGTTTTAAAGCTTCACTTAAAGTATTATGTTTACAAGAGTTTTTGGTAGATATAATTTATGAGGTTAAGATATTTCTGTAGTCTTATTTGGCTAATGGATTTCCTTTGCAAATCATCAATAAATGTTGAATTTTGTAAAATGCTTCTTCCAAATTTATTGAGATAACCATTTCAACTGTTCCTCTCAATTTGTCTTTGCAATGGACAATTTTATTTATATCTTTATGCCTCATTTCCATTTGGTCATAACGTTTTAAAATACGTAGTGAACTTAATTTGCTAATACCTCAAAAAAGGATTTTTTTCATCTCGTATCATAAGTAAAATAAGCTTATATTTTTCTCATTCTATTCTTACATTGGTTTAGAAGAATAGCCATGCTACCCTCTCCTGTTAGCTTCCTGTGACTACCGCAAAAAAAAAAAAAAAAAAAAAAAAAAATTACTACACACTAGGTGGTTTAAAATAACAGAAATGGGCTGGGCATGGTGACTTATGTCTGTAATCCCAGCACTTTGGGAGGTTGAGGTGGGCAGATCACCTGAGGTCAGGAGTTCGGGACCAGCCTGGCCAACATGGCAAAACCCCCTCTCTACTAAAAATACAAAAATTAGCTGGGTGTGGTGGCAGAATCCTATAATCCCAGCAACTCCTGAGGCTGAGAATAGCTTGAATCTGGGAGGCGGAGGTTGCAGTGAGCTAAGATCGCACCACTGCACTCCAGCCTGGGTAACAGAGCGAGACTCTGTCTCAATAATAATAGTAATAGTAATAAAATTCTATTATTTTTAAGAGAAATGTATTCCCTCACAGTTCTGGAGGTTAGAAATATGAAATCAAGGTGTCAGCAGGACTATGCTTCTTCTGAAGCATCTGCAGAAAAATCCTGCCATTTCCCTTCCTAGTTTCTGATAGTTGTCAGCAATTCTTAGTGTTGTTAGGTTTGTAGCTTCATCACGGTAATCTCTACCTCTGTCTTCATGTGGCCTTCTTTGCTCTGTGTCAGTGTTGACCATCTGATTGAGTCTTCTTCTTTCTCTTACAAAGACATCAGTCCCTTGAATTTAGGATCCATCATAACCCAATACGACCTAATTTTAACTAGTTACATCTGCAATGACCCTGTTTCCAAATAAGGTCACATTCGGAGGTATGGATAGGTGTGAATTTTTGGAGGACAGTATTCACCACACTATAATTCATAAAATGAGTTGTATACACATCTCACATTTTTTCTATTGATTAAGCTTTTTGAATTTTTATAAAGCTTCAGTAAAATCACTTGATTTTGAAGTTTTTCTTGGACAGAGGGAATTTTTGTACTCCAATTTTTTAATAATATAATTATAATAGTTATTTCAATGTTTATTCTTCTTAGACAATTTCAAGTTATATTTTTTCTTCAGAATTTGACTATCTCATCTACAATTTCAGAAAAAGTGACATTTATGATGATTGCTTTGATGATTTTTAGGTTTTTTTTTTTTGCTGATGTTTGAGTTTTTGTTCAAGTATTGTTTACTTGAATAATATGTTTTCCTCTTAATTAGTCTCTTGGTAAGTGTGTCTAAACAATTACTCTTAAAAGAAACTAGCTTTTAATTTTGTTGGCCCATACCTGCTAAGGGTCTTATATGTTTTTAATATGTCTTACTTATTAAAACATTATTTTCCATAATCCCAAATACAATTCAAAATTTGGTTTTCTTGAAACACAAATACTTCTGAGACTAGTATATTAAAAGCTTCTATGTGGTTATAAATTTTAAATATTTTTGTTATAATTTTGTCATTTGTACTTTGTATCTAACAAATTTATGTTGTTTGATGTTATAGTTAGAGGTTTTTATACATGTTTAAGAATTCATAACCTTATTAGCATGATTGACACTATTTTTTTATTGGTGGCCTTTGTATTATACTCTGTTTTATATACTAACATGACTATATTATCTTTATAGTACATAATATTTCCCTTATATATCATTGTTTATTTTAATATATGCAACTTTTCTGGTTTCTGCAGTAAGCCTGGCTTGGATTCTTTCACCTGAAATGTACACATTTTAAATGCTTGCTCTATAAACCCTATAGATTTATGTCTTTAGCCTGTTTACCACATGGTCTTTCAATTTCATTTTGGTCCACATAGGTGTGTATTTTGTTTTTAAGTATCATATATCATGTTTTAAAATATACTTTATCATTGTTATATGTTTTGTGTACTTTGCTTATAATGTCTTGTATACTCGCCTGTGACAGAATACCTGATGAGGACATAATTGAAGTATTGAAGCTATAAAATTTCTTCAAAATGTTAAATGTATGCTCTGTCTTCTAAAAGAAAATGCATACTACTTTGTCTTTAGGTAGGTTTGATCCCCAATAATTTTTTTTTACAAACAAACCATGTTCTAAATCTTTGTTCTCAAGAAAGCCTTAGGTACTTTGAAGCAACCTAATTCTTTTTTTTTTTTTTTTTTTGGAGCAGTCAGAACACACAGAGCATTTATTAAATTCATTTTACAATAGCAACATCAAAGGTCACTGATGAAAATGTCACCATAACAGATATAATAATATTCAAAAAGCTTGAAATATTGCAAGAATTACCAAAATGTGACACAGAGACATGAAGTGAGTAGCACCAATAGCCTTAATGCAGAATTGCCACAAACTTTCAATTTGTAAAAAACACAATGATGCAAAGTGCAATAAAATGAGATATCATATATATATATTTGTTTAAAAATAGTTAGTTTTTGTTTTTGCTATATAATAACGGTGTAAACTGTATCAGTAGAAGAGGAGTAGGGGACTTTCTGTGAAGGGCCAGATATATATTACAGGCTTTGTGTCCCCATCATAACAACTCATTTCTACCTTTGAGCACAAAAGCAGCCACACCCAATGAGTCAATGAATAGGTGTGGCAGGAGTTCAACTAAGCTTAATTAACAAAAAATAGGCAGCAGGCCGGATTGGTCCTTTATCGTTATCCATATTTATAATTCAAATTCATTTTTTACAAATTGTGTACATATATATGTATATATATATATATACATATATATATATATAAATAAAAGCAACCCCTATCGAGGGATTCTTAAGATGTTTCTAATTTTTATTCTTATAAACAATGCTACAGTAAATACCCTTTTAACTTGTTGATTATTTCTTTACAATAAATTTCTAGAATTTGTGGTTTTAAGTCAGAGTGTGCATACTTAAATATTTGAATCATTACATAGTTGCTCACCAGAAGAGGTGGGCCAATTTATACTAATGTGTACTGGGTATAAGAGTGCTTGTTTCCCCATATCCTCTCCGATATTTGATACTATTTATCTTTTAATTCTTTCTCAACCTACCTGGGGAAGCATTGATCACTCATAGTTGTTTTTTTTTTTTATTCATTGATTTTTAACAATCTGGAGCATCGTTCCATTTGTTTATCGGTCATTTATTTGTGAGTTCTCTGTATATGTAATTTGCCCATTGTTATACTGGGTTGTTAATGTTTTTCTTTTTGATTTATAAGGACGGTTCATATAATAAGGACATTAACATTTTGAGCCTTATGTGTGCTACAAAAAGAATTCACCGGTTTGCTGTTTGCTTGTTTTTTTTTTTTAATTTTATTATTATTATACTTTAAGTTTTAGGGTACATGTGCACAATGTGCAGGTTAGTTACATATGTATACATGTGACATATTGGTGTGCTGCACCCATTAACTCGTCATTTAGCATTAGGTATATCTCCTAATGCTATCCCTCCCCCCTCCCCCCACCCCACAACAGTCCCCAGAGTGTCATGTTCCCCTTCCTGTGTCCATGTGTTCTCATTGTTCAATTCCCACCTATTGTGGGATATGCAGTGTTCGGTTTTTTGTCCTTGTGATAGTTTACTGAGAATGATGATTTCCAATTTCATCCATGTCCCTACAAAGGACATGAACTCATCCTTTTTTATGGCTGCATAGTATTCCATGGTGTATATGCGCCACATTTTCTTAATCCAGTCTATCATTGTTGGACATTTGGGTTGGTTCCAAGTCTTTGCTATTGTGAATAGTGCCACAATAAACATACGTGTGCATGTGTCTTTATAGCAGCATGATTTATAGTCCTTTGGGTATATACCCAGTAATGGGATGGCTGGGTCAAATGGTATTTCTAGTTCTAGATCCCTGAGGAATCGCCACACTGACTTCCACAATGGTTGAACTGGTTTACAGTCCCACCAACAGTGTAAAAGTGTTCCTATTTCTCCACATCCTCTCCAGCACCTGTTGTTTCCTGACTTTTTAATGATTGCCATTATGCGAAAACACTTGAAAATGTTCCTGTTATCTATTGTTTAGCTGAAAGGAAGAAAAAAGGAAATAAGACAAAACATAAAGAAAGAAAACAGGCCAATATATTAATTTCACATGGTTCAATCTAGTAAATATTTTTGTTTGTTTGTTTTTCTTCTTTTCATAGAGACAGGATCTTGCTATTTGTATAGGCTTGTCTAGAACTCTTGATATCAACTGATTCTTCCACCTCAGCCTCCATAGTGCTGGGATTACAGACATGAGCCATCACACCCCTAATAAATATTTATACTTCAAGCTGAGTAATTCAACATTCTATTTGGAAAATAAACTCCACCAATATTTTGGTTTAGAGAATACTTTGCCTAAAATATATTATTTTATTTATTTTTTTCCACTGTCTTGGTATATGTGAATGCATGTTTGTGACTTTCTTGGGTTTCTGTGTACCATATGTCTGACAGGTATATAGACTTTAGCCTGAGAAAATAATCTAGGACTGATTATGTGCAAAATAATAACATGCATATAGCAGTGATATATTAGATTAATATATACTGTAGACAAAATTACATGTTTTTCAAAGGATGCAATGGAACACTATTGAAACAATCTAGATAAATGGAGTTGAGAGTCTGGACTAGCTATATGAATAAAAGGTAAGAAATATATATACATACAAACATTAGCTCAGAATAATGAGAAAAAGTATTTAATATAATTGTCTTCATTAATAAAGAGAAACTGAGGCACACAGAATTTAAATAAATTGCTCAAGGATTTGTAGGCAGACATTCTGGACCTGGAATCAACGTTTGTTGCAGGGGTTAAATAGCGTATAATACTAAATGACGAACAAATTGGTGAAAAGGTGACCCTATTGAAAATTACAGTAATACCGCACAAAGAGATGAATTGGAACTATCAAATAAAAAAGAAAAGAATACATCAATAAAACTCAACATATGACTAAGAATGTTTCAAATCAGTTAAAAAATAAAATAATAGAAAGATTCTTTTTGAGGAGATAATGACTGAGCATGTCCCAGAACTTGGAAAAGACATTAATCATCAGGTTTAATATCTCGATAAATGCCAAGTTAGAGTGAAATAAAATAGCGAGTATGTCTACACATGGGTGTATCATAGTGTTTTAGAAAACAATGCATAAAGAAGAAAGGTAACCGAAAACAAAAGAAAAATCAGATTCCTAGAAAAAGTGATTGTAAAATTAACATTGGATTTTTAATCAGGATAAAAGAATTTAGATAAAGAAGAGGTATATAGTAACTGTGCTATGAAAAACACAATAGCTTTGAGGCTGTAATTTTCTACCAGGCCCAAATATAATTGAAGAGAGAAAGTCAAAAATATTATCACAATGGAAAACAAAAGGGATGTGGAATCTCACTTGTCACTCTACACGTTTGAAATATAAAAAGGGAACTCACCAGTGAGAAGCTGAAGCTATGCCGCTCAGAAGGTGACTGGTAGCTAATACGTGTCTTACGTCCTGAGATGCAACTCCTGCATTTAAAGGAATTGAGCTTACTGGTACTGGGCAAGGCATGTGGGTATATAACAGGTGATATGGTTTGGTTCTGTCTCCTCACCCAAATCTCACCTTGAATTGTAAGCGCCATAATCCCCACGTGTCCAGGGTGGGACCAGGTGGAGGGAATTGGATCATGGGGGATGGTTTCTGCCATGCTGTTCTCATGATACTGAGTTAATCTCATGTGATTTGATGACTTTTTTCTTTTTTTCTTTTTTTTTGAGACGGAGTCTTGCTCTGTCACCCAGGCTGGACTGCGGTAGTGTGATCTCAGCTCACTGCAACCTCTGCCTCCCGGGTTCAAGCGATTCTCCTGCCTCAGCCTCCAAAGTAGCTGAGATTACAGGCACTCGCCACCACGCCTGGCTAATTTTTGTATTTTTAGTAGAGATGGGGTTTTACCATATTGGTCAGGCTGGTCTCGAACTCCTGACCTCGTGATTCACCCGCCTTGGCCTCCCAAAGTGCAGGGATTACAGGCGTGAGCCACCGCGCCTGGCCGAGATTTGATGATTTTATAAGCATCTGGCATTTCCCTGCTTGCACACAATTCATCCTGCTGCCACATGAAGAAGGTGCCTGCTTCTCATTTGCCTTCTGCCATGATTGTAAGTTTCCTCGGTCTCCTCCACAATGCAGAATTTCGAGTCAATTAAACCTCTTTCTATTATAAATTACCCAGTCTCAGGTATTTCTTCATAGTAGTGTGAGAATGGACTAATAACAACAGGGCTTCATATATAAAGACAGGAACACAACTGTTGCCAGTACAGTTTTCAATAAAGATTAGCGCATGATTTTTATTTCCTTTTTATTAAAAAGAAATTATTTAAGCATCACAACAGAACTTGCATTATCCTAACTAATGGAAGGAAAATGTTTAAGATATACACACTACAACTTAAGAAGTTAAGCTCAATGGGAAGAGTGACATGTACAAAAATAGTTTGTAATGCACTGCCTGATAAATATTCTTTTCAGAGAAGTAAAAACACGCAGTGCAAGCTCTATCTAGAGCCCTAGGAGCTTCAGCTGGGAGTGTACACATGGTTTTGTTAAATTGTACATTTTGGAGGTGGCTAGCACAGAAACTGGATTAACTAAACTTTTCTACCTGTGAGATTTTGGAGAGAGGTAGAATCCAAGTATAATAAAATAAATTGGGATATGGAGATATTTGAAGAGATTATTTCAAGTATAGCCTAGGGAGAATAGCCTGGATTGATTTGTTGAGTCAAAAAACAGATTTAAATTTTTGTTTTGTTTTGTTTTGGTTTGGTTTAATAGGGGTTGTATTTAGATAGGGACATTTTGCCTGGCAGAGACAAAAACAAGTGAATATCAACAAATTACTAAAATATAAAAATCCACACTACCTAGGATGTCTTCGGGATGTTCATGGCAAGCATCGAAGAGAAACTAATATTCAAAATGTTTTAGATTTACCATTAAAACAGGAGAAAAAAGAACATGCTAAGACTTGGAGGCATGATATTGCAGCATGTTTGTGGCTGTACAAGATTTTTATAAGATTTAAGCTCAGCCCGTGGAATTATCAGTGATTTGGGAGAAATAAATCCTAAGTCAATTTTAGATTTGAGGTAACCATAGAACATGTGGTGGAGGTATAATTCATAGATGATTGAAATACAGGTCTAAAACTTTGGAAGGAGACTTTTGCCATTTGGAAGGCATTAGTATATAAGTAGCTCACAAGTAAAGTGAAAGAGGTCATTCAGTTAGAATGCATATATAATTTAAAAAGCAAAAGAAAAGTGCACTTTAGAACCAATTGTGTACTAGGTAAGTATGCCAATGGTATTTCATAAGAATACTTTGATGTACATATTAATGTAATATTTTAATAAGTGAGAAAAAAGAAAAAAATGTTTTTCCTTAGATCATATACAATATATTAACCTGAGATTCAAATCAACTCATGAAGAGTTCCCCGTGATCAGCTGAGAGAGGAAGAGAAGACACTAGCCTGGTTTACAGATGGTTCTGCACGATATGCAGGCACCATCTATAAGTGGATAGCTATAGCACTACATCCACTTTCTGGGACAATTCTGAAAGATAGTGGTGAAGGGGGGAATCTTCCCAGTGGGTAGAACTTTGAGCAGTGTCACCCCTTGTTGCTATTAAAACAAAAAATAAAAAATAAAAATAAAGCCAGACCTTTCATTGTATAGTGGCTATAGTGAAATGGCTGTATCATCAGGGACTTGGAAGGAACATGATTGGAAAATTGGTGACAAAGAATTTGGAGAAGAGGTATGTAGATGGACCTCCCTGAATGGACAACAAAAGTGAAAATAATTGTGTCTCATGATAATGTTCACCAAAGAATGACCTCAAGAGAAAAACTGAATAATCAAGTGGATTGGATGACCCATTCTCTGGATATTAGTCAATCTCTTTTCCCAGCCTTGCCATTACTTTATAAACTCATGAGCAAAGTGGCCATGAAGGCAAGGATGGAGGTTAGGTATGGGCTCAGCAACATGGAATTTTACTCACCAGGCTAGCCTGGTTATGCCAAACGTGGAATGCCGAATGTGTCAGCAGCAGAGACCAAGAATAAAACTTCAATATGGCACCATCCCCTGGTGTGATCAGCCAGCAGCCTGATGGCAGGTAAATTACACTGGACTGCTTCCATTATGGGAGGGGCATCATTGTGTCCTTCCTGGAATAGGCTCTCTGGATCTGGATTTGTCTTCCAAGCATTCAGTGTTTCTGCCAAAACTACCATCCATAGACTTATAGAATGCTTTTTTACACTGCCATTTTATTCCACACAGCATTGCTTTTAACCAGGGTACTTATACCACAGCCAAAGAAGGGTGTCAGTGGAGTCAGGCTTATGAAATTTCCTGGTCCTACAATGTTCCCCACCATCCTGAAGCAGCTGGCTTGATATAAGGGTAGAATGGCCTTTAGAAGACTGAGTTACAGTGTCAGCTAGGTACAATATTTTGCAGGGCTGGTTCAGGGTTTTCCAAAAGGCTGTATATTCTCTGAATCAGTGTCCAATACATGGTGTCTGTTTCACCCATAGCCAGGAATCACGAGTTCAGAAATCAAAGGATGATAAATGGGAGTGGCATTACTATTATCCCTAGCGACTCCTAGCAAAATTTTTGTTTTCTGTTCCTGTAGCTTTATGTTTTGCTGTCGTATAAATATTAACTCCAGAGGAAAAAATACTTCCACTAGAAGACACAATAATAATTCTATTGAACTTGAAGTTAAGACTGCCAGTCACATTGGGTTCCTCAAGCCTCTGAGTCCACAGGCCATGAAGGGAGTTATGGTATTGACTAGGGTCCCAAGAAGTTCCTAAGTCCCAAGAAGTAATTGAACTACTACTCCATAATGGAGGTAAGAAAGAGTGTGTTTGGAATACAGGAGACCTCTTTTAGGTGGTCTCTAAGTATGATCATGTCTTGTAATTAAGGTCAATGAAAAACTACAACAACTCAATCTAGGCAAAACTATGAGTGGCCCAGAATCTTCAGGGATGAATGTTTCAGTTTTGCCACCAGGTGAAGAATCACAGCAAGCTTAGGTTCTTGCGAAAGGCAAAGGGAATACAGAATGGGTGGTCGAAGAAGGTGGTTACTATAAGTGCCAGTTATGACCATGTGAACAGTTAAAGAAATGAGCACTATAATTGTCATAAGTATGTCCTCCTTTTATTTTTAATATCTGTGTGTACATATATATGTATTAAGGAATGTCTTTGTTTTCTTTACATTTTTATTTCCTTATCATGTAATGTAAGATGTATTAATTTTATATCAGTATTTAAGTATTGCTCATTTTATATCACAGTATTTAAAGTATGAGGTATCTGGAGAAAAGTAACCATTACTCAAGGCCATTATCTCCTCTTCTGGGGAAGGGATTTGTGCATTTCATTTTCAATTGGATGCATGATACTGTATAATATTAAGTGAAATTATGACCTTGTTAGTTTGTTTATATGGAGATTAATTTTGGCTTAAAGAGATGTTCACAGGAGCCACATTGACAAGGGATCAACTAGTGATGGTTAATTTTATGTGTCAACTTGACTGGGGTAGGGGCTGCCCATATAGCTGGTAAAACATTATTTCTGGTTGGGATTGTGAGGATCTTTCTAGAAGAAATTAACACCTAAATCAGTAAACAGTAAAGACAATCTGCCCTCACCAATGTGAGGGCATCATTTAATCCATTGAGGTCCTGATAGAATACAAAAAATAGAGGAAGGACAAATTCTCTCTCTTATCATGACTAAGACATTCATCTTTTCCTGCCCTCAGATTGAAGCTCCTTGTTTTAAGGACTTTGGACTCTGGGACGTACACCAGCCTTTAGCATCAGACTAGGAGCTAAATTATAGGCTTCTCTGGGTCTTTGATCTTTGTACTTGGATTAAATTCCATCACCAGCTTTCCTGGTTCTCTCAGCACATCATTCTCTTTCTCAGATTTAAATATTGGAGATATTCAAGGTGTTTTATTAAATTTCTCCTCTTATCTCTTTTCACAGTTTCCTAAAAGATACATATATATGATGATTTCCAAAAGTAATATCTCAAATTAAACTGTACTTTAAACTTGAGATGAGTTTATTCCATTGATTCCTTGGCATTTCTACTTGGACATCTGAAAGATAATTATTTTAAAACATGAGCACTCCAATCTTCTGGCACTTATTCTCTTGGTGTTCCTCACTATGCATTGTCTCTCTCCTTTGGGCACATGGTAAAAAATGGCTGATTGGCCCTATGTTGCACTTAATGTTCAACAAAGCCTGAATGCAGTCAGGTGCATAGTTTCTTCCTAGGAAAGAGAATCTCAATAGTCTGACTTGGGACAAGTGAATACCTGTAGTCCAATCAATGATGGCCAGAAAGTGGTATCAAGAGCCTTCTTGGGAAACAATTTCAAAGCAGACTCTGAAGAGAGCACAACTATGTTCTTTAAGAGGGAAGTATAGGAGTGAGAAGGAGATAATAAACAAAGAAAATGATTGGACACTCTGACACAATAGGTAGAAACACCTTTTATGTAGTATTATTTGGATTCAATTTGAGAACTAAAGGCACTTTAGAAGAAAAGCCATTGACACTCTTCATCGTATATATTCATTATTGAATTTGCTTTAGCAAATTTCTGTCATGTGTAACGTATAATGATTCTTTCTATAGAGGAGACCTGCTGTATACAACTAGAGATAGGGTTCTAAAATCTACTTTTTATTTTCAATTTATAAGATTTGTACTATGTACTAAAGAACCTACATAAAGAGTGATTTGGAACCAACCCAAATGTCCAACAATGATACACTGGATTAAGAAAATGTGGCATGTATACACCATGGAATACTATGCAGCCATAAAAAATGATGAGTTCATCTCCTTTGTAGGGACATGGATGAAGCTGGAAACCATCATTCTCAACAAACTATTGCAAGGACAAAAAACCAAACACCGCATGTTCTCACTCATAGATGGGAATTGAACAATGAGAACACATGGACACAGGAAGGGGAACATCACACACTGGGGCCTGTTGTGAGGTGGGGGGAAGGGGGAGGGATAGCATTAGGAGATATACCTAATGTTAAATGACCAGTTAATGGGTGCAGCACACCAACATGGCACATGTATATATATGTAACAAACCACGTTGTGCACATGTACCCTAGAACTTAAAGTATAATAATAATAATAATAGAGTGATTAATAAACTTAACAAGAACCTGGTGTAATCTGGATGAATCATACTTGATAATGCCCAAATTATGCCACATATCTCTAAAATATTTTAATCCAAAACAAAGACTAATTTAATTTTAAGGCACTTACATTTTAGATTAACTGACTATACAAGTCAATATAAATATACAAATTGTGGGGAAAAACAAATTTTTCCAAATTTAAAATAAAATAATTATAAATTTTAAAAACTTTAATGTTAACATAATTAAAATTATGTTCTATTTTGAAAAACATCCCTCAAAGGAGTGGCCCACAATCAAAAACTTTGGTGGTAGTATTATTTGCATCTGGTCTTAGATTTCCTGTGATTTTTTTTCACTATGTTACGCTGGAAAAAGAGTATTTCTTGTGAAATATTTTATTTTTTCTCTAAACAGAACATGGTACAAAATAAATTATGTAATAAAAAACATCCAGGTAAAATTATGTGTGTACATTTTATATATATAAATTTCTGTGTAAGTATGGGTGTGTGTGCACGTGTGTATGTTTGTTCTCATCTGGGAGAAGGACTTAATGTCTTGAGAGTTAAATAGCTGTAGTGTTTTTTTATGCATAAGTAATGCATCATTTCCACACAAATGACCCAAATGATTCTCATTAATAAGGCCAGAATTACTTACATTTCAGAATGATAAATTAGTATAATATGTATTCAGTTGTGTTTATTGTAAATAATATATAGTTCATTGCCTTTAATTATATTAATTTTTATCACTATTTCAGGTACCTTAAATGCGTTTCAGGGATAAGACATCTTCATTTAAAATGGGCAATACTGGAATATATATTTCAGTTCTTCATATGAAAAAGAAATGTGTGAAATGACCAGGTAGAGTTGAGTGAGTACAAACAGTACATAGGAGCTTAACCATCTTAGAACTTAACCATTTGAAATAAGATATTCTTCACCTTTGAACAATAATTAAAATAAATAATAACAACAACTATAATGAAGAATATAAAAATAGCTAAGTCTGTTGAAAACTAAAATATGCCATATATAACTCATTTAATCTATGTAACTGTCATACTGCCTTCGTTTTATGGAACTAGTAACTGAGGACCAAAATATTAAATAATGTGTCAAATAAAGTAATTGGCAGAACTAAGAATCAAATCCAGGCAATTTGTCCACCAATTTTTATTACTTTCAGAATAACAGGAAAGGATATTTAGCATATTTAGCTTGATGGATATTCACACTTTTAGGTATCAATTCATCTCTAAGCACCACTGGGAATTCATTATCTTGCTTCCTTAGACATGTCTTTGAAATGACAAATGAATCACAGAAATGTAAATGAAAATCTTCAGTAGTTTTGAGGTCACATTCCACACAAAATTCTGAGTTTTTAAATCCTGCAAATTTCATCCCTTCATTTTATAAGGCATCCTGGAGGTCCAGTCATTCTCCTTGAGTACCATATTGCTCTCTGGCTCTTGCTTTATTCTGTCATCCAGAAATCCAAAGCTGCAGCTGCCTCTCTTACATTTGCCTCATCCACATTGATTCCCAAACTGCTGAGGTTTTTCTAGAAATTTTCAGTCCCTCTCACTCTTCTCACCTGCAGTTTTCCAGCTATCACATCTGTGGTGGTGGGAGAAGAGTCTATCCAGAAATGTCATTCTCAATTCATTTGTTTTTCCCCAAAGCAGTTTTTGTTTTGTCTTGTTTTGTTTGTTTGTTTGTTTGTTTGTTGGAGACAGGGTTTCCCTCTGTCACCCAGGTGGGAGTGCAGTGGCCCCATTTGGGCTCATTGCAACCTCAGTCCCTGGGCTCAAGTGATCCTCTCACCTCAGCTTCCCAAGTAGCTGAGACTACAGGTGGAAGCCACCATATCTGGCAAAATTTGTATTTGTATTTTTTTTTTTTTTTTGTAGAGATGGGGTTTTTGCCATGTTGCCAGACTGGTTTCAAACTCCTGGGTTTAAGTGATCCATCCTCCTTGGCCTCCCAAAGTACTGGCATTACAGGCATAAGACACAGCATTTCATTCATTTTCTGTCAAACTTACAAAGCCCTATCATTCTTTCTATCAACTACCTTTTATAAAATTGTAAGGCCGGGCACGGTGGCTCACACCTGTAATGCCACCACTGTGGGATCACAGAAGAAGTAAAGAAATAATCTTTATCATCTTTACAATTCCAGAATAATCATTTTAAAAATAAAATATAACAATGTCATAATCCTTAAAAAATAATCTCCTAGATATTTACATCAAAATAAAGTCCAGACTTTTAAATATAACACTAAGACAGAGGCTCCTCCGACAACCTGTGTGTTCATACTTACCCATGTGATCAGAGCAAAGGTCCCTGAGTACACCTGGTCCTGAATAAATGAAACTCTATCAGTTAGTCCGTCGATTTCCCACAATATTCAGGTCTCCACTGACTGTCACCTCCAATGCAGAGGCCTCTTATCTTGTTATTGTTCTTTGATTAATAGCAGTTTATGATACTGATACGGTTTGGATTTGTGTCCCCACCAAAATCTCATTTAGAATTATAATCCCCAATGTTGGAGGAAGGATGTGGTGGGAGACAACTGGATCATGGGGGCGCATTTCCCCCTTGTACATGATAGTGAATGAGTTCTCATGTGATCTTGTTGAAAAGTGTGTAGCACCTCCGCTTCAGTCTCTTCCTCCTGCTCCAGCCATGTAGGAAGTGCCTGCTTCTCCCTCACCTTCTGCCATGTTGTAAGTTTGCTTGGGCTTCCCTAGCCATGCTTCCTGTACACCCTGTGGAACTGTGAGCCAATTAAACCACTTTTCTTTTTACATTACTCAGTTTGAGGTATTTCTTTATAGCAATGAGAGAATAGACTAATACAAATATTTATTGTTGAATTAACTGTTTCATCTTTAAGCCCTAATTATTTATGCTATCTCCAACACATGTGAAAAGATTACTGAGTACAAATGAATTCTAAAACATTTAATGAATTTTTTCCACTGAAAATAAGTATTTTATAGCCAATTGTACTGTTGAGATAAACTTTATAAAGTTTGAAATGTTACAGTGCGTCAAAAACATGAAGGCACAATTGTTGGTAAAATATTCATAATATGTTAGTACATTATGGAATGAATGTATCCTGGCAGAAACAGTCTGGCCACAATTCATGAGAGGAGAAATTTAACCAAGGAATGTCCCACTCCCTCCTGTAAAACAGTTTTTTTTTAATCTAAATTAACAATATGTACAATGTTTATACGGAAAATAATTGTAAAACTTTCATTCTTAATTACTAATAACATATAAAAATTGCAATCTATAATATAAATAAAAATTTAATAAGTACAAATTTTTCATCCATTAAACATTTTAGACATGAGAATTTTCAGAAGGTGCACTTTTATTAAGGTATAAAGAATTATGCAGAGAGGCTGGGCATGGTGGCTCATGCCTGTAATCCCAGCACTTTAGGAGGCCAAGGCAGGTGGAACACTTGAGGTCAGGAGTTCCAGACCAGACTGGCCAATATGGTGAAACCCCATCTCTACTAAAAATACAAAAAAATTTAGCCGGGCATTGTGGTGGGTGCCTGTAATCCCAGCTATTCGGGAGACTGAGGCAGGAGAATCACTTAAGCCTGGGAGGTGGAGGTTGTAGTGAGCCGAGATCACGTCACTGTACTCCAGTCTGGGCAACAAGAGCGAAACTACGTCACAAAAAAAAAATTAAAAAAAAAAAGAATTATGTAGAGAACTATAGTTGCTGTCAAAATAGCTAATATATAACATACAAATAGTTGACAGTTACAAGATGATGAACTATTTACCAAAAGAATATGCATCATAGAGGAATTAAATCTCAGTTGGCCTGAAACAATTTTTCTTGCTTAAGATACAAATTAGTGGGTCACTTCTTAAAATAATCAATGATTTCATACTATTTCATCTGAATGAAATGACCTAAAATTTCTAGAGTTGAATCTTCAAAGGTAAGTATAATTTTATGGAGCCATTTTATTAAACATGCTTATTTGCTTTTCTGTTTTAAATGAAATCTTATTAATACTATCGGTTTTACATAATTTGGAAATTTAATAATTAGCTATGTTTTTATTTACATTTTATCTTCAATAGAAAATAGCTTTTCCAAACAGAAATTAGCTTCTTTTTCTTGAATCACTTTTAAAATAAAAGTTATCCCATGAATTTTGAAATGAACAAACACATACATGTGAGGTAATTGGGCAGGTATATATATGCTGTTCACATTTTCTATAATGATGGTCAAAGTTCCTAGGAAGTAAACATCAAGTATACTTACAATAACCACTCCAAAGCTCTTAGTGGGGAAATTTTAAATTCAAATAGGATATAAATAACTTAAAGTGCTATAATGACAATTATATTTTATAATACTGATACACAATTGCTTTTTCTTCTATAAAAGCAGAGAAATAATTATTGCTGGATTTTGAACATTTTGTATAATAAAAGTAGTCAAATGTAGTATCATCAATATGTATGCATTTCCTCTTACCAACCCTGCTATTTCTACTTCACTTCAAATTCAAAATCTATGATAGTGTGGAAGAAAAAATAAATTCACATTTTAAATGGAAGTATACAATGAGAAGCCTTCCTCTACAACAGTGGTTTTAGAGTTGAACAAAAGACAGCAGTATTTTTGGGTATATAAACTCATTCACAGAATGCTAATAAATAAAAAGACAATAAACATGAAGTTATGTCCTGCCTGATTCTTCCCTTAAAAACCCTAATCGCAGAGAAACCTGAAGTTTTACAAAGCAATTTGAAAACCACTGTTCCATAAATATATTCTGTTTTTTGCTTTTTATAGTGGAGTTGTAACTAAGTTTGTTTTTGCTTTTTTTTTTTTTTTTTTTTTTTTTGAGACGGAGTATCACTCTGTCGCCAAGCTGCAATGCAGTGGAGATCTCGGCTCACTGCAGCGTCTGCCTCCCAGGTTCAAGTGATTCTCCAGCCTCAGCATACGGCGTAGCTGGGACTACACACGCACGCCACCACACCTAGCTAATTTTTGTATTTTTCATAGAGACGGGGTTTCACCATGTTGGCCAGGATGATCTCAATCTCTTGACTTCGTGATCCGTCCACCTTGGCCTCCCAAAGTGCTGGGATTACCTGCATGACCCACCACGCCTGACCTGTTTTTGCTTATTCTTTAAAACTAAAATGGTCTGAAAATGCGTGCAGTATTGTCATAATTGGCAAGGATAGTTTTTATCTATGGTTTCCCTAAAGGCATCATTGAAGAGTTTCCTAAAAGGTTTCTATTTCTGTCTTGCCCTCTCTTTATTTTCCTTTAATATTTTATCTCTTCCATTATTTGTGCAATAAGGTCATTTGTATGGAAATTAAAATAAATAACTTTGTGTCATGACATTAGTCTGAAGTCTTGTGATGTTTTAAAGTGGCTGATTTTCTCCTGAATCATGTTACTGTGACAAACTCATAGGGATTTTAGAAATTCTAACATGGGTTGTTCTAATCACATTCTTCCTTATGTCACCTGATGGCAATTCCATCCTTCCGATTACTTAGAACAAAAACCTTTGTGTAATTCTTGATCATTCTCCTTTCCTCACACCTCATGTCCATTGCATCAGAAAGTTCTTTTGTTGTGATATATGAAAAAATCTACCCTAATCATATGTCTGCTAGGACCACCTTGTACAAAGCTAACATCATCTCTAGAATAGATTGTTCCGTTGCTTCCTTATAATCTATTTTCCCCAAAACAACCAGTCAAAGATCTATGGCTACTCATAATCTGAAATGGCTTTCATTTCCCTAAGAATAAAAGTCAGTGTCTTACCAGGTCCTTCGTGGACTGGCTGCCATTACTGTGTAACCTCATGACTTGCCCTTCTCCCTGCTTCCAGCTGGACTGGCTTGTTTGCTCCACCTTGAACACAGCAGGCATGCTATGACTTTAGGGCTTTTGTATTGGTCATTTCCTTTTATAAGAACACATTTCACTCATATCTGCATTTCTGACTCCTTTGCTTTTGTCAAGGCTGCTCAGAGTCATCAAGGCTGCTTTGCCCACCCTATTTAATATTGCAACTTTCCCCTCCCCCTGAACCATTCATTCTTCCAGTACTTCTTACTCTTCTCTACCTTTTTCTTTTTCACATAGCATTTATTAACAACTAACATACTATATGATTTCCTCATGTTATTTATTTGGTGTCTTCTTTCAGTAGGAAGTAAAATTGAAGGGGAAAGACATTTGTTTAATATGTTTGCTGATGTATTCTAAGCACCAAAAACAGAAGGGGCTGGCACATGGTAAGTGCTTAGTGAATATTTAACTGAATCAATAAGGAGATGAATGTATTTTTATATGGGTGAAAATATTCATTCTCAATGTCTCCTGAAACTTTTTTCGTGCCTTTCTGCATTCTACTCAAACAACCACTTTTGAATTAACAGTTAATAGTTAATTGGTGCTATAAGACACCATTCACGTCAGCATTATAACAGACTTGGAGTATGCACCAGGAGACATTTCAATACTGTAAGGTTTCCCCAGGACAATGATATCTGCACATGATACACTGGTATTTGAGTAATAAGTCTAAGTGTTGGGAATAATGAATTCAGAGTATAGAAGTAATTTTTCTCCATTATATATTGCAAGCTGTTTTTTATAAACCTTGGCTACAGATACTAAGAAAAATTCATCACTACCCATAGGTATTTATTCTTTACTAATCTTTGAAGGAAAGATTGCATAAATTTACTGTCTTAATATGTTAAGAATGAATGTTAATTTTGAATTGATCTGAATTAAACTCAGTACAACAAACTCCTTGTACTGTGACTGCTATACTAATCACATTTTCTACTAAATTTTATATAATTCAAGATTTATTCTTCATATAATTTCTAAGAAGGTAATTATTGCTATTGAGGTAATTGCATAGTGATAAAACCGTACAAGAAAGATTCAGTGACCTAACCAAGGACAAATGGTGTGCTTCAAGGATAGAAAAAAAAAAATGGAAGTATTTACATCTGTGAGATTATAAGACACTCTAGTCATCTCAAATCTTTTAATATTGTATGTAGTTTTTTAAACAATTACAGGCATTTATGCTACTATTCTCTTTTTAAAAAACTGCTTCAACAATGAAAGGTAAACTGAAGTTTGTGGGGATGAAAAAAAACAATTCAGGTGTTGAAATACGTGAAGTAGGTTTTGCCTCTAAGTGTTCTGGCATTTTTTACATGGCAATATTATTGCCCAACTGTGAGGTTGTTTGTTATCAAATTTGAAAAGGTTACCTCATGACCAAAGAAAGCCTAAAACACTTAAACCTCTGCTTGAATTTAGAAACAGAAAGCTATTCATTATATTTCACATTTTCTATCTTCACTTGTCTTCAAACACAATGATCTTGTTGAATCCAACATCAATTGTATTCTATGAATATTTCTTGAAAGTGAATATAGCAGTATCAGGCAACTGCTGCTGAAGGGTGATTTAGCTCATCTTTCTTCCTATTAATATTTTCATGTTTTTGGACATAGGCATTATTTTTGTAGCACTAGATGTCCTCAAGGTAAAATATCACAATATGGGTACTGAAAACAAAAAGTTCAATATAGCCATTTCAGTTTTAGTTTTGCTGTGTAATACATGAGGCAATCCCAAAGTTGAAATTTCCTAGTTCTTGTTAGCTTACAGAAGTCATTCAACATGCGCATACTGAAAACTGAAATTTGCCTATACACATGGTATGATTTCTTTGTTATTTATTCGATGTCATCTTTCACTAGGAGGTAAATTAGAAAGGGAAAGACATTCGTTTAGTGTGTTTGCTGATGTATGCTGAGCACCAAAATCAGAGGGCGCTAGCACATTTTAAGTGCTTAGTGAATATGTAACTGAACAAATGAGAAGATGAAATAATTTATATATGGGTGACAATGTTAATTTCCTTCACATTACTACTACACACACACACACACACACACACCCATCATTATTTTCAGTTAATTTAACTGTATCAATCTCTGACTTCAAATTTTCCCTAATTCTCTTTCAGCGCCACTGATAATATTCTGCCATTCACTGCATTCTTTTCTACTTATCTGACCTTTGGCATGGTTTCTTTCTTGTGCCTTAGTAAAATTTCCAATATTTTCTATTACTTAAGAATACATGTTGTTGGGAAAAATTTTCCAAGT
The DNA here is from genome assembly GCF_000001405.40 of Homo sapiens. Taxonomy (NCBI): domain Eukaryota; kingdom Metazoa; phylum Chordata; class Mammalia; order Primates; family Hominidae; genus Homo; species Homo sapiens. The sequence goes on along the minus strand of NC_000003.12, from coordinate 103,734,811 downwards.
TCCAATATTATCAGTTATCAACAAGTGGACATTTTTAAATGTCACCATCTTATTTTTAAATAAATACATTTTCTTTGGAAAGACATACAATCCATTTGTCACAATTAAGAAATTAATAAAAAATTATTTTTTAAAAATTACTAACTAAAAATTAACCTTAATTCTAGAAACTAAGCTATCTTAAGAGTTCAATTATAGTAAACTAAGAAATAGTTATCCTCAATGATGGGAATTTTATACTTCCCTTAATCAAATGTTTAAAAAGAATTTTACTCAAATTTCAATCATTTGACTCCTAAATTAATAAGACTATAAAATTCTAAAGTTGAAAGAGATCTTCAAAAGAAGAGACTATATAAATCATTAATTGAAGGGGTTGAAATTTGAGACTCAATGAAGAAAAAAGATTTTTCAAGATTCCGAATCTAGTGAATGGCCAGAGCTGAAACACAAAGATAGTTCATCAAACTTTTCATTTTAAATTTTAATTAGTCATCACACCACTCTCCTCTAAGGTAGTACCAAATAATAGAGTGCAATAGTCTGTTATAAACACCAACATCAGTTGTTTCAGTCAACTGGTGGATTCACTTACTCTTTTTGTAAATTGTATTACAGCATAAAAATAACCAGTAATGTGCAGGATTCTTAAGGGAATGACTTAAAATATTTTCACAAGCCAGACACACTCAGAATAAAACAACAACAACAAAATCCTGGAATATTGCATTAAAATTCATTTTATGCTCCTTTCTGTCACAATCCTACCCCACTCCCCCAAGAGTAACTTCTATCCTTACTTCTAATGTTATAGATTAATTTTTCCTGTTCTTGTACTTGACATATATGAAATCATAATGTTGACCTTTTTATGTTTTCCCTTTCTGTTCTTTTTCTGAAATCCGTCCATCCATGTTCCTTGTTATATAGTAGTCTGAAGTGTAAATGTATCAACATTTATTGGCTCATTTTATTTGTTATGTTAATTTGGGTAACTTATACTTTGGAGATATTATGAATGGTACTGTAATAAACATTATTGTGCAGGATTTTCATAAACATAAATATTTTTCTCTGAGTAATCCTGGGGCTGAATTGTATTCCACTCCACAAGTTCAGGTGTCAAAAACTTAATCTCCAGTGGCTCAAAATGTGACTGTTTCAGAATACAGGGTCCATGAAGAGGTAATTAAGTTAAAATAAGGTTCCAAATGGGCCCTAATCCAATACGAGTGTTCTCCTTAGAAGAAGAGGATATTTGGACACAGACATAGAGAGAGGAGAAACAATGTGAAAATACAGGGAAAAGACAGTCATCTACAAGCTAAGGGCAGAGGCCTGAAACATTCTTCCTCAGGGTCCTTGGAAGACACTAACTCTCCCACAATCTTGATCTCAGACTTCCAGCCCCCAGTACAGTGATAAAATGTATTTCTGTTGTTTAAGCCACCCAGTCTGTGGTATTTTTTAATAGCAGCCCTACCTAGAAAATTAATACAATTATATTCCTAAGAAAGAAGTCATGGAGCAAGCTGTGTATATATGATCTACTTCAATGACAAAGTTTTCTAAAGTGATTGTACAAGTTTATACTTCTAGCCACATATGAACATCCCAAGTGTTCCAAAACTTCTCTCTTTGTATTTTCTTTTTCATTAACCTTTTCAGGTGAGTGTGAAGTGGTATCTTATAGTTGCATTTTGCATTCCTATGAATGAGTACTAATGTTGAGCATAGTGTCACATGCTTATTAACCATTTAGATACCTTCTTTGATACTAATCCTCTCTTTATTACTGCATACTCGTCTGTAAGCCTTAAATTTAAGGGGCATTAACTCTAGGTTCTTAGCTAGGCTGAGCTATAATCTCTATATCCAGCCTTGCTATCAGCTGTACAGACTAGCCTTTGCAATGTTTCCAGTGTGGGAAAAGCAAAAAACTCCCAGGTACATCTCTTAGATAATGACTTGTGGTTATATTCAATAATATTTGCAATTACCCCTTCACTCTATCATATTTTATCCCTTAACCAGAGAGTCACTATTGATCCTTTTTGTGCTTCTAGTGAATTATACCATTCTCTACACTATAATCCTATATTTCACTCACATTAAACTATTTGCTATTTTTTGGATTAAATGTGTTACTCTCTAGTGTGCAGGCTGCTGATTCTTTATTTGAATGATAGTCACTTATTTCTTTTCAGTTAGAGAATATTTACATGATTCCTTTTTTATCCTGTTACACTTAGACTTTTAAAGAACCTAATGAGGTTATGATTCAAACTAAGTCAACTAAATAGCTTCAAGGTTAGAGATGGCTGTGGTGTGAAACAAATGTTTTTCTTGGAGAGCTATTGGTTTAACTTCTTGAAAACAGGAAAATGATCTTTTAAGCTTTTGAGGCAGATATAATGAGTTAAAAAATAACGTGCAAAGGTTCCTTGCTCATCAGTTATTCATTAGTTTATAATTAATTGTATTTATAATTTATTGAGACCATTTGTTTTCTTTTATGCCATGTGAAATGATTAAGTGCTGTCTTGCTCTTGAGTACATCCATTCAAAATTAGACAACACAATCTATACACAAAGCTCTCTGGGTAAAGTAGTGGGAGTCTAATTTCAAAGCAGTACATATATTTAAAAAATTATATCTATGCTTTCATAACATAGAATTTGTCATTATTTTCCTACTACTTAAACATATATGATGTTATGTCAAGCACTCATCATTCTTTTTTGAACTCTGAGATATATCCTGGGATATTATCTAAATTAGGTAGTTTATGAAATTTAGTGTTGTTTTTTTTACTAAATCGTTTCCTCTAAGAAGAATTTTGATTAGTTTTCTAGTATAAACTTGTTGCCTGTTCTAAAATGCCTCGCTAACTTGTTTTGTAAAATATTATTCCAACTGGAGAGATATTTTAAAAGCCAAGAAATATGACAGTCTCTCTTAACTGCACAGGTGCTTGTTCAAAAACAGAATTTGAAATTTATGAGCATTGTAAAAGCTGAACATATAAATAGTATTACGTATGTATGTATCTACAATTTTGTTTCTGTCGTATCACTTCCTCTTCTTAATTATTTTATTGTATTAGTTATCAGGTAAAAGAGATATGATGATGGAAAATTTAATAGAAGCGAAAAGTATGTAATGAGCTTTGTAAATGACCTGTGCAATCTTTCTCTCAATATCTAATGTTGTATATAGAAGTACCGAGAATGAAGCTCATACAAGACGTCTTCACCTACCTACTCTACTCACTAATTCCTAGCTCTTTCTCAGGGATGTGAAAAACTAAATTTATGTTTAGACTGAAGGTTCCTTAGTAGAAATATTGGGCTTTAAGTAGTTAATGCATGGTAGTTTTTCTCTTGCTTCTTCCTTATGCTCTGCTGAAATAGCAGGTAGCTTGTTGTATGGAGCTCTGGAAAATACCAATAAGAGAATCTAGGCAGAATACCGTAGGATATTGAAGTACATGTCTTCTTCGGTAATTAAATATAACCCCTTAAGGATAGATTCTTTCTTGATATTGGGCATTGGTAGAAACGGAATATTAATCATAAAACTTCAAGTAGCCATTGACACCTGATTTGTTTTTATAATAGGATCTTTTTAATCCACAAAGTCATACATTTTGGTGAAAATAGCAGTGCTCAATTTTAAGAATGAAGTAGTATATTTGACATTGGACCTGAGTAGATTTGAACGCTCAAGTAAACTGCATACCAAGCTTCTTATAGTTCCACTGTGACCACTTCTGCCTCCTTAGAACTCCTCCTGCAATTGATTCTTACATCCTCATGGGAAGTTCTCTATGACCAGAGGGCAGAGGAAAAAAAAAAGTAAGATGGTGTCCTATTTCATAGTGGCCTAAAACAACACAAATTTGTTATTTTACAGTGCTGGAGACGTTCGAAATTGTTCTCCCTGGACTAAAAGTGTCTGCAGAGTTTGTTTCTTCTGGAAGCTTCAGGTAAGAATGTATTTCTTTGTCTCTTCCAGGTTCTAGAGGACTTCTACATTCCTTGGCTCATGGTCTCTTGCTCCATCTTCAAAATCAGCAGAGCAGCATAGTATTTAAAATCTCTCTGACTGTGACCATCTTGTTCCACCCTTTCTCTTATGACCATTGTGATTATACTAGACCTACTTGCACAATCCAATATACTCTTCTAATCTCAAGAAAAGCTGAATAACAAGCTTAAGTATGTATGTGATCTTAATTCTACCTTGCCAAGTGCAATGGACTGAACGTTGTGTCACCCAAAATTCATATGTAAAAATGCTAAGTCCCAGTTTGATGGTATTAGGAGGTAGGTAAGGTTTGGGAGATAAAATTAGTTGAGGGTAGAGCCTTTATGAATGAAATTAGTACCCTTAGAAAAACAACCTAAAGACTTCTTTGGCCTCTTTTCTGCCATGTGAGGATACAACAAGAAGAAGGCATTCTATGAACCACGAAATGAGCCCTCCCCAGACAACCAAATGGTCTGGTGTCTTGATCTTAAACTCCCTAGTCTCCAGAACTGTGAGAAATGTTTGTTGTTTAAGCCACTGAGTCTATAGTACTTTGTTAGAGTGGTGTAAAATGGCATATATACCATGTAGCATAATGTATTGACGAATTCTCTAAATGAGAATGTGAATGTATTTGGAGGTTTTTCTTTTGCCTAACACACATGGCTTTGCCCAACTGTTTTGTGTGATTTAGAAGTAGACTGCCAAAATATCATCACTTTCAGGTATAGTCCTTAAAGATAAAGGCAAGAAAATCTTCTCAGTAGCCAAAACTTCTAAGATTATATTTGGTTTAGGGCTGATAAAGGGAGAGATATGTAGTTATTTATAGTTTCGTGGACACTGAGTAATAATTTTTCTCCATGTCATGGATTTGAAAAGATTGGAAAATTGGTAATAAGTTGGTAAGGGAAAAAGATATATAGATGTATTTTTCAAATTTTAGACAGAGTAAGAGGTTTGTGTCTAAGATAAATTATAACATTGCATCCTATGCAGAAGATGACATCATGGATTATGCAGTAAATCAGCCTCTTTATTTTCTCAGAAACGTAGGTGCCTTCTCAGTGGACTTACATGCAAAGGGGCCATGATGGCAGAGATGCAGCTTACAAAAGAGCTCAACATGGATTGCCTCTTACCAAGTCTGATTATTTTAATGTTCTGCTAAGTGCACATCCCACGTATAATTGAGGCTAACACTGAACCCTGAAATAATTATATTCTGCAGTAGGGAAACTAGTCTCATAAATGATATCAGGTTTACATTAGATCCATAAAAATAGGAGGAAGGCAAGAGAATTGCAAGCTCAGCCAAACCCCACCAATCTAATATCTGTATTCCGACAACCTCTTCATGTTGTTGCTTATACCTTAAGCTGGAGAACAGTTCATAGGATGGGTATTCACTACTTTTAGGATACCAAAATAGTTGATATTTATTATTACAATGCCATTTCATTTTATAAGTGATACATATTATCTGCCCCCTTGGAGCACATCATATGATATAGTGGATGCAAAACAACAAACAAAATAAATGAAAAACACTTAAAAGTGCACAGAAGCTTTATTGTAGCAAACTGACGGATGTTTATGATGATGATCATGATAGTTGGTCTTCTCAAAATTTAATGTAAATGCAAATCATCTAGGGAGTTTACTAGATTTCAGAAGGCTGGGGTAAGAACTGAGGTTAATCACTTTTAAAAAGCTTTCAAGTGGCTCTGATGTTGCTAGTCCAAAGACCATACTTTGAATAACAAAGATGATGATAAAATAAAGATGCTGCTGCTGTTACTGCTGCTGCCGATAATGATTTTAGCCATGAAACATAGGAATCTAACTTTCTACAATGGATAAAAATGTTTATGCTTTATTAATATATTTTCCCATGATTAAAAAAACCATTTTTATGATTCAATATGTAATAAAATATTTTAAATTTATTATCAGTGATATTTAAAAGCAATTTATGGAAATGTTAGTAATATTAGCATATATTAAACTCACGTCAGAAAATCATCATTCTAACCAGATTTATTCCATGGAAACAATGATGAGCTTATCCTCACATTAATTAAGCACAAAATCCTCTGTAATTTAATATTGACAAGAATTAACCATGCAAAAATAAGAAAAGGGCAAAGCTATAAATTAATTTACCAATCCGAGTCTTGTCCTCGCATAAACGTTGTTACACAATTGAGTCATTTTAGCCTTGATAGTTCACTGCAATGCTATGGACTTTTGAATCCTAATTTGCCCATTTTATTGAGTAAAGTATTTTGCTAGTGGGATTGAGAAGCACAAAGTTATGCTGCTGTGTTGTTCGTTTTACCAAAAATAACTCCTTGGAGGTGTCTTTTGTGAAATTGTGTCCGGAATTGGTGGGTTCTTGGTCTCTCTGGCTTCAAGAATGAAGCCACGGACCCTCGCGGTGAGTGTTACAGTTCTTAAAGATGGTGTGTCCGGAGTTTGTTCCTTCTGATGTTCGGACGTGTCGGAAGTTTCTTCCTTCTGGTGGGTTCATGGTCTCAGCTGACTTCAGGAGTGAAGCTGCAGACCTTCACAGTGAGTGTTACAGCTCATAAATGCAGCGTGGACCCAAACCGCGAGCAGCAGCAAGATTTATTGCAAAGAGCAAAAGAACAAAGCTCCTACAACGTGGAAGGAGACAGCACTGGTAACCTGCGGCTGGCTTGGGTGGTCTGCTTTTATTCCCTTATTTGACACCACCCACATCCTGCTGATTGGTCCATTTTACAGAGAGCTGATTGGTCCATTTTACAGAGTGCTAATTGGTCCATTTTGACAGAGTGCTGATTGGTGTGTTTACAAACCTTTAGCTAGACACAGAGTGCTGATTGGTGCATTTACAATCCTTTAGCTAGACAGAAAAGTTCTCCAAGTCCCCACGTGACCCAGAAGCCCAGCCAGCTTCACCTCTCAAAATCAGTCCACTAGCAAAAACCAGCATGTCACGGTTGTTTGGAAAATGGTATCTCTGAGCAATGAGTCTTTCCTTTCTTAAAAGCCTAACTAGAAATAAAACGGCCATGATTCTCTGGATCCTGAATGAAAGCAAAATTTCAGTGAATCCATAAGTTCACCCTTCAGTGGGTTTATTCCAAAACATTGTAAATAACTTGTATTTGCTGTATTGCAAAGAATATCATATATAATCTATCAATGAATCAATTAATTAACTAAAATTAAACTGAACATCTTAATTGAATTCTAAATGAAAATCTATATTTATTTCTATATATGAGGGAGTAATTGGATCATATAATTCACCTAGGAGCCAGGTGGAAACTTAGAAATAATAGTTTCCCACCATCCCCTTTTAAAAATAAGCTATACAGAAATAAACATTTAAATGGTGATGTCATCAGCTTGCAGTAGTATCACAATGATAGTAAGAATTTGAAAAAATTAGACACATTCCGGGGCCAAAACAATTAGGGAAGAAAATCAAATTCAATCGAGCTGTTAACAAATTTGTAGGATTTTGCTAGATAAGGAATACAGTGTGGGTGTTACCTTAGTCAGTTTATGTTACTATAACAAAATACCATAGACTAGGTAATTTAAAAATACTAGACGCTTATTTTTCAAAGTCCTGAAAACTGGGAAGTCCAAGGCCAGGCACTAATATTTGGTGTCTGATGAGGACTGCTGTTTCCAAGATGACACCTTGTTGCTGCATGCTCTGGAGGGAAGGAGGGGTGTGTCCCCACAAGGCAGAGAGTGGAAGAACAAGAGACACAAACTCTCTCTGAAGCTTCTTTTATAATATAAGGTATTGATTTATTCATGAGGGTGGAGCCTTCATGACATTCACTTCCTAAACGGCCCCAGCACAATGGGGATTAAGTTTAAACATGTATTTTGGAGGGGACATACACATTAGGTATGTGCATGTACATATGTGAATTTGTGTATGTTTATGCATGCACATGGCATGTGTGCATATACCTGTGTGTGTTTCACACAGAGAAATGCATGGTCAAAGGTTCTGAAGTAGTAGTGTTTCTATTAATTTAATTAGCACAGAAAACCTACTATATACCATATGTTAAGCTAAATATATAATAATAATAACTATTATTATTATTATTTTGAAATGGAGTCTTGCTCCGTCGCCCAGGCTGGAGTGCAGTGGCGCAGTCTCGGCTCACTGCAAGTTCCGCCGCCCGGGTTCACGCCATTCTCCTGCCTCAGCCTCACAAGTAGCTGAGTAGCTGGGACTACAGGCGCCCGCCACCACGCCGGCTAATTTTTTTGTATTTTTGTTTTTAATAGAGACGGGGTTTCACCGTGTTAGCCAGGTTGGTCTCTACCTCCTGACCTCCTGATCCGCCCGCCTCGGCCTCCCAAAGTTCTGGGATTACTGGCGTGAGCCACCATGCCCGGCCAATATATAATTATTAATAAGACCTGATTCCTACTATAAAAAGTGGGAAGACTAATTCAAGCACAATGATTTATAATGTATCATAAACAAAATACAATTGAGTTGAGAGTCATCATCTCCACTAAGGATGAGGATGAAGGAACATTAAGGTGGTTGCATATTAATGTATAAAATATTGACTAAAATAAAATATTAATATGTAAATGTGGGAGATGATGTAGTCAAGATTGATTGTGACCAGATTCTAGAAGGTATTTTAGTTTTTTATATTTTGTTTTATTTCTTGTTTGTATTTTTCCTTTTGAATAACAAAGATTATGCCAACATTTTTCAATATTTGTGTATGCAGATTTCACATTTTTTATTGTGGTAAAAATACACAACATAAAATTTGCCATCTTAACAACTTTTAAGTGTACAGTTCAGTAGTGTTCAGTACATTTACATTGGTGTGCAATCAATCTCCAGAACTTAAACTCTATGCCCAGTAAACAACTCCTTCTCTCCCACGCTAGCCTTTGGTTATCACCATTCTACTTTCTGTTTCTATGATTTTGACCACTAGAAACCTCATGTAAGTGGAATCAGATAATATTTGTCGCTTTGTGACTGATTGACTTCACTTAGCATAACATCCTTAAGGTTCATTTATGTTGTAGCATGTGATACGCTTTTCTTCTTTTTTCAGGTCAAATAATATTTTATTAAGTATACATACATATACTTAAATACACAAATTTATAGGTATACCTATTTCTCCCACACTAGCCCTTGCTTATCACCATTCTACTTTCTATTTTTATGATTTTGACTATATTATAAACCTCATGTAAGTGGAATCAGAAAATATACATATACATATAAATGTGTATATATATATCTCACACACATATCTCTCACACACACACACACACACATACACATTCATACCCCATTTTGTTTATCCATTCATTTATCAGTGGACATTTTGGGTGCTTTTACCTCTTGGCTATTGTGAATACCACTGCTATTAAGCTTCAATATACTGTTTTAAACTATTCAGAAGTAATATTGCTTGATCTTATAGAAATGCTATTTTTCATTTTTTGAGGAATTGTCATACCAAATTTCACAGTGGCTGCACAAGTTTACAATCCCTTCTACAGTGCACAAAATTTCCAATTTCTGCACATCCTCACCAACATTTATTTTATGTTTTGTTGCTATTTGTATGTTTATTTGTTTGTTTCTTACAGTAACCATCCTACTAATTATGAGGGGATATTTCATTGTGGTTTGAAATTTCATTTTCTTTAGTGTTTTTGAGCATCTTTTCATGTACTTATTGACAATTTTCATATGATGTTTGGAGAAATGTTTCTTTTACTCGTCTTTCACTTTATGTTATTACTCTAGAGCAGAGATGCTCAAAAGTTAAAGTATAGTCTTGCAAAATGAAGATTCTGATTAGTTAGCCTTTGGATGGAGCACAATCTTCTGCATTTCCAGTAAGCTTTCAGATGATATCACTGCAGCTGAACCTAGCATCATACTTAGAATAGCAATGATTAAATATATATGTATATATATTAAATTTTTCATTCATGACAATTTTAATAATATGAATGAAGATTATAAATCAAGCATAATTTTAAGTCATATATTGTTCAGCTCTCAGTTCATGTATTAAAAGTTCTTCATATTTAAACTCTGGCCTGAAGATGAAAGTCAAGGCTGAATTCCTTAGTAAATCAGGTGTCTTTATGAATGATATGTTCACTCAGTATAATTTCTGGCAGATTTATACAAGTTGTAGTATACCTGAATAGCCCCTTTTTGCATTGTTAAGTAGTATTTCATGGCATATATTTACACAGTTTCTGTAATAGGAAACTGTGAAAAACAGGATATGGTGTCACATGCTTGTACTTTCAGTAGGAGGATTGCTTGAGCCCAGAAATTTCAGGTTGCAGTGAGCTATGATCCTGCCACTGCACTTTAGCTCAGGTGATGGAGTGAGACCCTGTCTCCCCCAACCCCCAATAAAAAAAGACCGAAGTATATATGAGCTGATTATGTTTTTATAAATTTTTGGCTCTTATGAATAAAGTTATCAAAAACATTCATGTACATGTTTTTGTGTGAACTTGAATTTAATTTTTTCTGAAATAAATGTCCAAGAGTGTAATTACTGAGCTGAATGGAAATTGTGTGTTTAGTTTTATCTGAAACTTCTGTTTTTCAGGGTATAACATTTTTAGGCTATAGTATTTTATATTCCCATCAGCAATGCATGAGGGATTCAGTTTTTCCAAATCCATGACAACATTTGTTATTGTCATTATTTTTTATTTTGCAATTCTTCTAAATGTATAGTAACATCCTTTATGTTTTTGATTTGCATTTTTCAAATGGCTAATGATGTTGAACATTTTTTTGTGTGCTTATTGGTCAGCAGTTTTACCCTTGTCAATGGAATGTCTGGTCTCATATTCTGCTTATTTTCTTATTGGATTATTTTTAACTGTTGAGTTTTGGGAGGTTTTTATACGTTTTAGATATTAGTTCTTTGTTAGATATGTAATTTGAATGTATTTTCTTCCAGTCAGTAGCTTGTTTTTTTATCCTCTTCACATGGCTGTCCACAGAGCCAGAATTTATGATATTCATGGGGTCAAATTAAACAATTTTTTTTATTTTATGGATTATGCTTTGAATGATAAGTCTAAGAACTCTTGGATTTGCCATAGTTTACCGTAGTTTTCATCTATGTATTTTTTTTCTAATAGTTACATTTTCCATTTAAGTTTGTAGCCCATTTTGAGTTAATTTTTGTATAAAGTCTGAGATTTAGGTAGAACTTCATATTTTTACCTATGAATGTCCAATTACTCCAGCAGCATTTGTTGAAAAGGGTATCCTTTTTTATTTGAATTGCTTTTACTGCTTTTAAAAAATTATCTGATAGAGTAATTCTCACAACTATATTCTTCTTCTTTTTTTTGTTTTAGCTATTCCAGATCTTTCATCTTTCCAAATTGAAAAATAAGCTTATATATGTATTCAAAAATCTGTGAATTTTGGTAGGTATTGCATCAAAACTCTAGTCAAATTGGAAATAACTGACATCTTTATAATGTTGAATCTTCCAATACACAGACACAATTTATTCTCAGGTTACTTAGGTTTTGTTTATTTCTTTCATCAGTATTTTATAATTTTCATATACAGATTCTATATATGTTTTGCTAAGTGTCTACCTAAGTATTTTGGGGAGGATGGGAACAACTGCAAGTGTGTTTCTCCTTTCCTTTCTTTTCCTCTTTTCCTTTCTTTTCCTTTCCTTTCCTTTCCTTTCCTTTCCTTTCCTTTCCTTTCCTTTCCTTTCCTTTCCTTTCCTTTCCCTTCCTTTCCTTTCCTTTCTTCTCTTTCTTTCTTTCTTTCTTTTCTTTCTTTCTCTTTTCTTTTTTTTATTTCATTTTCTTTCTGTTCTATTCTTTTCTTTTCTTTCTTTTGACAGTTTTGCTCAACGAGGCTCTGTGCAATGGTGCAATCATGGTTCACTGCAGCCTTGACCTCCCAGGCTCAAGCAATCTATGCTTCCACCTCAACCTTCTGAGTAGGTTGGACTACAGGCACATGCCACCATGCCTGGTTAATTTATTATTATTTTTGATAGAGATGTGGACTCCCTATGTTGCTCAGGCTTATCTCGAACTCCTGAGCTCAGGCAACCCTCCTGCCTTGGCCACCCAAAGTGCTGTGATTACAGGTGTGCACCACTATACTCAGCTGGTATTTTGTTTTTAATTTTTAGTTTCTGTGTGTTTATTGTCAGCATATAAAAATGCTATTGAGAGAGTGAAGTCACCAAGATAGTAGATTTGGAGATACCAGCCTTCACCTCCCTACAAAAAAAAATAATAATAATAAAGAAGAAGAAGTATAGCTATCCACAAATGAAATTAGCCCTGAGAAGGCTCAGAAGCCCATTAATGAATATGCAGCAACACAGTGTAGAAAAACAACCAACCAAACAAACCCCAGAATATTCACACCAAAAGAAACTCTAGAGAGCTCATTATTCTTGCAGTGCCAGATGGTTAGTAAAAAAGAAGAAAAATAGAGGCTATCAGTAGCAGCCATGCAGTGGGAGCCATTGTGGTCTTCTGAGTCTTGATCCACAGAGAATATTGGTATCTTATGCCACTGAGGTAACCAACAACCATTCTACTATGAAATCACAGGGAGGGATATACAACTATAACCTCCTTCTAGAATCAACCTCTGTTGAACCACTTTGGGAAAGGAGCCACTACTGTTCCTAAATGTACATGCGCCCTGACCACCCCAAGCTGTGTCTACCCAACGTATGCTCTCCCTTCAGACCTGAGCTCTGTAGCTGCACAGCAAATGCCTAACTCTCAGAAACCAGAGCCATCACCATAGCAAGCTAGTTTGTACTCTGGGTCTTGGTGCCAATGTGTCTCTGAGCATGCCTGTGTGCTGAATACCAGTTCAGTCATCACAGAGATCAAAACTCCATTTAAAACCTAAAGTCACTGTAAATTATGCACATGCCTCTGTTTCCTTTCTTGGCTCTCTGACTCCTTTACAAGGATGCTCACCTCACCTCCAAACATAGTGGCATTACTACTACATATCCAAGAGCTGTAGCCTTTCCAAGTGTGCCCTTGCTTCAGGTCTCACCTTCTTGACTGCTCCAATGGTACCACCACAATATGATTAGGTTAGCAATCCAGACCCAGTGCCCACAGGGGTCCTGTCAGTGACAACTTCCCTCATGGGAGTAAAAGAGGTCTGCAGAATGTCAGCCCTCATTCCCACTGAACATTCCAAAAACCCTCAACACGACTGCAGACATCCACAGCGATGGCTACTGAGAATCCCTGTGATATTCATCAGCACTGAACTCCTCTGACAGCACAGCAGAGATCATATAAAGCTGTATCCTCACTGGTGCCAGAACTGCTGTATTGCATCCAGTCAGCACCCTTGAGTGGCATGTCTTTTCGTAACAAAGTGAGCTAGTAAAGTCTGAAAATGGTGACTGTTCCACCAAATGCACCAACATCAATGAAAGGCAACAGGAAACATGAAAAACCAAAGAGACATAACTCTACCCAAAAAAAATCTAATAATTTTCAGGTAACCAATCCCAAAGAAATGGAAATATACAAACTACCTGAAAAAAAAATTAAAAATAATCATTTTAAGGTAGATTAGCTAACTTTAAGAAAATACAGCAGAATTCAAAATAAATTTTTTAAAAGTAATAATGAATGACCAGAGAAATTTAACAGAGATACTAAAACTGTTAAAAAAAAATGGAGCTAAAAAATAAAATGAAAAATTAAAAAATGCAGCAGAAATCATCAAAATCAGTATTGTTAAAACAGAAGAAAGAAGCTATGAACTAGGAGATATGTTATTTGAATATATGCAATCAGAGAAGAAAAAATAAAAAATAAAAAATGAAGATAGCTATTGGATTAGGGGACAGCATGGAAAGAGCAAATATTCAATTATAAACATTTAAGAAGAAGAGAGAAACAATAAAACAAAAAGGTCACTTAAATAAAAACAGCAAAATGCGTTCCAAATTTGAGGAAAGGTATAAATATCTAGATACAGGAAGGTCAAATTTCTCCAATCAAATTCAACCCAAACAAGACTACACCAAGCCATATCATAATGAAACTGACAAAAATCAAAGGCAGAGATATTCTTGAAATAGAAAAAAAAAAAGAGCATATTACATTAAAGAAAATTCTGATAAAGCTAACAGCAGACTTCTCAGGAAAAAAAAAAAAAAAAAAAAAAAAAAGACCAGGTGGGACGTGGGATGTTACATACGAAGTGCTGAAGGGGGAAAAAAAAAGAAAGAAAAATGAAAAAACTGCCAACTAAGAATGCTTTACCTGGCAAAGATCTTCTTCAGAAATGAAGGAAAGATAAATACTATCTGACAAATGAAAGCTGAGGAGTTCGTCACTACCAGACCTGTCTTACAAGAAATGCTACAGGAAATTTTTCAAGATGAGAGAAAATAATGCTAGTTAGTAACACAAAACTACGTGAAAGTATAAAACTCACTGGTAAAAAAGTACATGGTTAAATTCAGAATATGTTAATATTGTAACGGTGATGTGTAAATCACTTGTATCTTTAGTATAAACTTTTAAAGACAAAAATATGAAAATAATAATGGCAGCAATAACTTTTAAAAGACACACAATAAAAAAGATGTAAATTGTGGCATCAAAATTATAAATTATTGGGGAAATGGAGTAAATGCCTAGAGGTTTTTTAAATACACAAAGTTATACAGTTATTAGGTTAAAATAGCTTGTTATAACTCAAAGATGTTTGATATAAACCTCATGATAACAAAAAAGCAAACACCTATACTATTAGATAAACAAAAGATAAAACATATTGATATGGTTTGGCTCTGTGTCCCCACCCAAATCTTATCTTGAATTGTACTCCCATAATTCCCACGTGTTGTGGGAGGGACTCAGTGGGAGATAATTTGAATCATAGGGGAGGTTTCCTCATACTGTTCTCATGATAGTGAATAAGTTTCATGAGATCTGAAAGTTTTGTCAGGGGTTTCTGCTTTTGCATCTTCCTCATTTTTTCTTGCTGCCCCCATGAAAGAAGTGCCTTTTGCCTCCCGTCATGATTCTGAGGCCTCCAAGCCATGTAGGATGGCAGGTCCAATTAAATTTCTTTTTCTCCCGAGTCTGGGGTATGTCTTTATCAGCAGCATGAAAACAGACTAATAAAGTAAATAGTTACCAGTAGAGTGGGGTGTTGCTGAAGAGATACCTGAAAAAGTGGACTGACTTTGGAACTGGGTATCAGGCAGAGGTTGGAACAATTTGGAGGGCTCAGAAAAAAACAAACAAAACACACACACACACACACACACACACACACACACACACACAGGAAAATGTGGGAAGGTTTAGAATCTCCTAGAGACTTATTGAATGGCTTTGACCAAAATGCTGATAGTGATATGAACAATATATCCAGGCTGAGGTGGTCTCAGATGAGATAAGGAACTAGTTAGGAACTGGAGCAAAGGTGACCCTTTTTATGTTTTAGCAAAGAGACTGGTGGCATTTTGCCCTTGCCCTAGATATTTGTGTAACTTTGTACTTGAGAGAGATGATTTACGGTACCTGGCAGAGGACATTTCTAAGCAGCAAAGCATTCAAAGTGACTCGCGTGCTGTTAAAAGCATTCTGTTTTAAAAGGGAAACAGAGCATAAAAGTTCAGAAAATGTGTAGCCCGACGCAGTAGAAAAGATAAGCCCATTTTTGTGGAGAAATTCAAGCTGGCTGCAGAAATTTACGTAAATAAAAAGGAGCCAAATATTAATCCCCAACACAATGGGGAAAATGTCTCCAGGGCATGTCATAGGTCTTCATGGTAGCCCCTCTCATCACAGACATGGAAGCCTAGGAAGACAAAATGGTTTTGTGGTCCAGGCCCAGGGTCTCCATGCTGTCTGCAGCCTAGGGACTTGATGCTCTGTATCCCAGCTTCTCCAGCCATTGCTAAAAAGGGCCAAGGTAGAGCCTGGCCCATGGTTTCAGAGGATGCAAGCCCCAAACCTTGGTAGCTTCCACATGGTGTTAAGCCTGCAGGTGCACAGAAATAAAGAACTGAGATTTCGGAACCTCCACCTAAATTTCAGATGTATGGAAACACCTGGATGCCTAGGCAGAATTTTGCTGCAGGGGCAGGGGCCCTCATGGAGAACCTCTGCTAGGGCAGTGCGGGAAAGAAATATCATCAGAGCTCCCACCCCCACCCCCAGAGTTCCTACTGGGGCACCACGTAGTGGAGCTGTGAGAAGAGGGCCACTGTCCTCCAGATCCCAGAGTGGTAGATCCACTGACAGCTTGCACTGTACACCTGGAAAAGCCACAGACACTCAACACCAGCCTGTGAGAGCAGCCAGGAGGGGGGTCACAGGGGTGGAGCTTCCCAAGATTATGGGAACCTACCTGTTGCATCAGCATGACGTGGATGTGAGATACAGAGTCACAGGAGATCATTTTAGAGCTTTAGAATTTGACTCGCCCGGTGGATTTTGGACTTTCATGGGCCCTGTAACCCCTTTGTTTTCACCAATTTCTCCCATTGGAAACTACTGTATTTACCCAATACCTATATGCCCATTGCATCTAGGAAGTAACTAGCTTCCTTTTGATTTTATGGGTTCATAGGTGGACGGGACTTGCCTTTTCTCAGATGAGACTTTGGACTGTGGACTTTTGAGTTAATGCTAAAATGAATTAAGACTTTGGGAGGCTGTTGGGAAGGAATAATTGGTTTTGAAATGTGAGAACATGAGATTTGGAGGGGCCAGGGATGGAATAATATGGTTTGGCTCTGTGTCCCCAACCAAACCTCATCTTGAATTGAACTCCCATAATTTTCACATGTTGTGAGAGGGACGCAGTGAGAGATAATTTGAATCATGAGGGTGGTTTCCCGTATACTGTCCTTGTGGTAGTGAATAAGTCTCATGAGATCTGATGGTTTTATCATGGGCTCTTGCTTTTGCATCTTCCTCATTTTCTCTTGCCACCACCATGTAAGAAGTGCCTTTCACCTCCTGCCATGATTCTGAGGCCTCCCCAGCCATGTGGAACTGTAAGTCCAATTAAACCTCTTTTTCTTCCCAGTCTCAGGTTTGTCTTTATCAGCAGTGTGAAAATGGACTAATACACATGTATAATCAAGGCATACCTCTAGAGAAAATCATTTAATTACAAAAGAAGAAAGGGCCAAAGGATCTACAAAGCAACCAGAAAGTATTTAATGAAATGCCAAAATTAAGTCCTTATCTATCAATAATTATCTTGAATGTTAATAGATTAAATTCTGAAATAAAAAGATATAGAGTGGCTGAATGAATAAAAACACCACATCTAACTATATACTGCCTACAAAAGACTCATTTCATCTTTAATAAGATTTAAAGTAAAAAAAAAGACAATTACATTTTATGAAAATACGAGGATAGCACTCTCTCTCTCAATAAAATAGACTTTTAGCCAAAAGCTGCATAACAAGACAAAAAAATTCATTATATAATGACAAATAAATCAATTCTTCAAGAAGACGTGTCAATTGTAAACATGGATTTACCAATTATCAAGTCATTTAAACATATAAAATAATTAATAATAGATCTAAAAAGAGAGATAGACTGCAATATGTCTAAAGTAGGGCACTTCAATACATCACTCTCAGCAATGGACATATTATCCCTATGTCCCTATTAAGAAAGAAACTTTGGACTTGAACTATGATATAGAACAAATGGACCTGACAGAAATGTACTGAGCATTCCATCCAACATCAGCAGAATACACTTTCTTCTTAAGTGCACATAGAACATTCTTCAGGATAGATCACGTTAAGCTACCAAACAAGTCATAACAAATTTAAGAAGACTAGAATCACATTAAGCAACTTTCAACCAGAATGATGTGAAACTTTAAATCAATAGTTGAAAGAATTTTGGAAAATTCACAAATATGGTGAAATTGAAGAGCATGCTTTTAAACACCCCTTAATCAGATAAAAAATTAAAAGAGAAAATAAAAAGTATGTTGAGACAAATGAAAATAAAAACACAATACATCAATGCTTATGAAATGTAGCAACAGCAGTTATAAGGGAGATGTTTGGAGATGTAAATATCTACATGGAAAAGAAGAAAAATCTCAAATAACCAAGGTAAGATTACACTAGAAAGTTTAGAAAAAGAAGAACCAACTACATTCAAAGTTGATAGAATAAAGAGAATAGTAAATGTAAGAGCAGAAATAGAGAATATAAAAACCATAGAAAAGATCATAAAACTAAGAGTTGATAATTTTTGAGTAGACAAACAAAATCAATAAAACATTAACTAGACCAAGGAAAAAAAACAGAACTCTAATAAATTCTATCATAAATAAAAGACAAGGCACATAACTGTTACCACTGAAATAGAAAGGATTATAAGAAACTGCTATGAACAACCGTATATCAAAAATAAGGCAATCTATGATATTTTGCACAGAAATAGAGAAAATGCAAAAATTTGTTTGGAATCATAAAAGATCTCAAACAGCCAAAGCAATCTTGAGCAAAAAGATAAATGGTAAATAAAATGTGGTATATACAATTGACTCTTGAACAATGTAGGTTTGAACTGTGAGGGTCCATTTATATGTGGATCTTCTTCTGCCTCTGCCACCTCGAGACACTAAGACCAACCTCTCTTCTTCCTTCTTTTCCTTGGCCTACTCAAGGGAGAGCATTAAGAAAAATAGCTAATGCATGTTGGGCTTAATACATATGTGATTTGTTGATAGGTGCAGCAACCAACCATGACACATGTTTACTTGTGTTAACAAACCTACACATCCAGAACATGTACCCCAGAAGTTATAATACAAATAAAAATAAACAAAGACAAGAATGAAGGCATTGATAATGATCCTTTTTGACTTAATGAATAGTAAATATAGTTTCTCTTCCTTATGATTTTCTTAATAATATTTTATCTTCTTTTGGTTACTTTAAGAATGCAACATTTAATATATATAACATACAAATTATGTGCTAACCAACAGTTTATATTATTATTAAGGCTTCCAGTCAAAAGTAGACTATTAGTAGTTAAGTTTGGGAAGAGTTAAAAATTATATGCAGCTTTTTGTTGACTGTGCAGGGGGTCAGTAGTCCTAACCCCCACATTGTTCAAGGGTCATACACACACACACACACACACACACACACACACACAATGAAATAGAAATACTGGAATCTCATCCAGCCTTAAAAAGGAAGGTATTCCTGCCATTTGTGACAACATATATAAACCTGGGACATTATGCTAAGTGAAATAAGCCAGCCAGCAAAAGATAAATACTGTATGATCTTACTTTTACGTGAAATCTTAAAAAAAAAAAAAAGTCTATCTGTTAGAAATAGAGAGTAGAAAGGTGGTTATAAAAGCTTGGGGGATGGGACAAATGATACATCAGTAAACATCAAAGTGCAAATCTCTTCAACATACTGATTTCATATGTTTAGATATATAGCCAATAGTCGGATTGCTGGACTATATGGTAGCTTTGTTTTTAATTTTTTGAGGAACATCCATGCTATTTTTTATAGTGGCTGCACTAATTTACATTCTCACCAACAGTATAAAAGAGTTATTATTTCTCCGCATTGTCACCAACATTTATCTTTTATCTTTTTTATCATCGCCATTCTAAAACTTGTAAGGGGATATCTCATTATGACTTTAATTTGAATTCCCCTAATTAGTGATATTGAGTATTCTTTTTATGTACCTGTTGGCCATTTATCTTCTTTTGAGAAATGTCTATTCATTACGTAAATGGCCATTTTTCAATACCTTTGTCTCCTTATTTTTGAGTTATTTTAGTTTCTTTGTATTTTTGATAGTAACCCTTTATCAGATGTATGGTTTGCAAATATATGCTCTCAGTTTGTAGGTTTTTTTCTTCATTCCGTTGATTGTTTTCTTCGTCTTTCAGGAGCTTTTTAGTATAATGTAATCGCATTTGTTTATTTTTGCTTTGTTCCTTGTACTTTTGAAGTCATGTCCAAAAAAAGCATTTATCAGATGACTTTTCTTTTATGTTTCCTTCTATTAGTTTTACAGTTTCAGGTCATAGGTTTATGTTCTAAATCAATTTGAGATTGATTATTTATACATTGTGAGATAAGAGTGTAATTTCATTCTGCATGTGAATATCCAGTTTTCCCAGCACTGTTAATGAAAAAGTCTCTCCCTTCCTTTTTCTTTGTTCCTGGCATGTTCATCAAAAATTAATTGACCATAAATGTTTAAATTTGTTTCTGAACTTAATTTTCTGTCCCCGTGGACTCTGAGTCTGTTTTGATTACTATAGCTTCATGATAGGTTTTGCAATCAGGTAGTATGATGCTTTGTCTTGTTCTCAATCAGGAGGAAATAATTCTGTCCTTCACCATTATGCATGATATTAGCTATACGTTTTTTCTGGATGTTATTTATCAAGGTCAGGAAGCTCCTCTTAATTCCTCATTTGCTGAGCATTTTTTATTATAAATTTGTGTTAGATATTGTCAAATGTTCTTTTTAAATGAACAGATATGGTTGTTCATGCAGTGAAGTGTATGATTTATTTTCAAATGTTGAAACTTCCTTGCATAAATGTAATAAATCCACTTTGTCATGCCGTATAATTATTTTATACATTTTGGATTTGATTTGAATCTGATTATATTTTGTTAAGAATTTTTGTGTCTAAGTTTAGAAGAGATATTGACTTAACTTATTTCCTTCCTTCCTTCCTTGCCTACTTCCCTCCCTCCCTCACTCTTTCCTTTCTTTCCTTTCTTTCTTTCTTTCCTTTTTTTTATCATTCTTTCTTTCTGTCTCTTTTTTCTTGCTTTCTTTTCTTCCTTCCTCCCTCCCTCTTCTTTCTTTATTTTCTTTCTTTCTTCTTTCTTTCTTTCTTTTACTTCTTCTTTTCTCTCTTTCTTCTTGCTTGCTTCTAACTTTTGTCTTGTTTTCATAAATATTAGCCTCATAAAATTATCTGGGAAGTGTTTTTGTCTTCTGTATTCTGGAATAAATCAAGTATAATTAGTGAACCACCATATCTGTTTTTTATTTGATTACATATATCTTTGAGTGTAATAATTTTAGATATTGGGTTAATGATTGCAGTCCATTTATAACTGTATGTAAGGCTAACTGGGTAGTTCAATGCAAAGCTATCGAATATAAACATGGAGGAGCTGCTCCCATGCTAAGTATAATAAAAGAAACAATAACTTCCATTGTTAGGTACTTATGACAGTTTCAGCTTTGATATATTCTCTTTTGATAAAAAAGAGTACACTTAATTTCTTCTTTGAAAATATTTATTTATTATGGTTAGCAAAGCTAAGAAAATAATTATGAATACTTGAAATGGTTCTTTGATCCTGGGAAGTGAAATTATTTCCATTTGTGCATTACAGTATAGCCAGGACACTGGACATTTTCATAATATGAACCATAATAAAACAATATTTGGTATAATTAATGTGAACATTTTTAAAGAAATAAAGGGCTGAAAGTAGACCACATGCTACTTGAACCAATATTTATTGAGGATTCAGTGTGTAGAAGATACTAGATTAGATGCTAAGGAAATTGCAGTGATAAACAGTCATGGACTATACAGCAGTGAAAAAAGAGAGAAGAAAAGTATACTTGACTATGTACCTAATTAGAAAGGTATTCTGCTAGATGAATGAATAAATATATTTGTGTTTGTGTACATTCAAAAATATGTTTAAACAAACACTCTCATGGTTAATTACTTCATAAGTATTTCAAGGAAGAACATTTTTATCCAATAGTGGCAGACAGAGTCCTACCTCTATTTACAGTAGGAAAAGTTTGCTTCCAGAAGAGATGTAAATTCTGGGAACATTTAAGAGGTGAGTGGTACTTTAAATAGTCTGTAAGAGACAGTTGGGACTTACACATGTCATGGAGGAGAGAAAGCCATTCCAGTAATGAATGGAAGAGTAATTACTTTATAGTGATTAGTTTGATTTGTTTGAAAAGAGGAGACCTTGAAATGTTTGGTAATATTTTTGAACAAATAGATTTAAATCAGAGTATTAAAATACTTGATTCAGTCTAAAGATTTAAACTTCAGACTGTTGGAAAGTAAAGCTCCTAGTGTTGGGGAGCTGAAATGAGTCATGAACACAAATGCAGTTCAGGATGTTGAGCCTAACAGTAGTCTGTGAAGCAAACTGAGACAGGAAGTGACTGGAAATGAGATCATTTAAAAAGCTATTAAAATATCTCAGGTAATAAGTAGCAATGGACTGAAGTCTGATAGTAGTATAGGAACAGGGAGGTGGGCCAAGGTAAGATAAATTATCAGACAATGTCTCATATTCGTGTTCCATTTCTATTTATCTTGCAAAATGCATGTCAGCTCAGCTTTTTTTTCACACATTCGTATATGAAGGCAAATTTAAAGTTAATAATATTCTAACTTCCTATCACTGTTTCATTTTCATTTTATTATGTAGAAATTATCTTGCATTTCTCTATTTTTTACAAGTTAGCAGTTGTAAAACATAAATTGAATAACAGTATTTTACAACAATCTAAGAATATGCCACAAACCAAACAGCATAGTTTGCAATTACAGTGATAAAATGCCGGCTTATTTTAAATCTCCTTATAGTGTGGATATAGGAGCCCGAATTTATCCACAAGTTTCATGTGAATGTCTGTTACTTCTTAATTCATTTTGCATTACATATTTTATCAGATTTATCATTACAGAAAATTTGCTTTTCTCTCTAGTGCGCTTTCAAAATGTGTATGGTTAGCTTCATAAAACTTCTATGAAAGATAATACTTTGACTGAAACATGCTAAGCGGTTATCATGAACATATAACTCAGACAAATAAAGCAAATGTCAAACTCAATTTAGCAAAGCAATAGAGTGCATTATGCAGACACAGGAAGAATATTATCAAATTGCACTACCCATTAAAAATTGTCATAAGAAGATGTGTTGCCTCTAACGTGATTAAGGGAAAATGATATGTTTGTACCATCGCAGTCCTCTAGATTTTTTTGTATCCAATAGAAACTCTAAAGGTGATACAAAAGGATGGGAACCTGAAACCGTGACATCCCCATGAGTATATTGGAGGTCATCCTTTATTTACAAAGCTATTAAAATGTGGATACCAGGCTTGTATAAGATGGTTTACCTATCCTCATTCAGCCTTTTTATCCTCTTTCTGAACTTCAGACGATGGATATAGAGGAGGGGGTTTGGAGCAAAAGAGGGGATTCACTGGGTGTGTAGACATTATTCACATCTCTTTTGCGTTTTATATTTTTATTTTTTAAATATCTATCGGAATTTGTTTTAGATGTGCTTCGTCTCAAGAGAGTAGTTGAATTATTTAAGATTTATTTATGGATTCTTTTGAGAAGTGTCTGTTCATGTCCTTTGCCCACTTTTTGATGGGGTTGTTTGTTTTTTTTCTTGTACATTTGTTTGGGTTCGTAGATTCTGGATATTAGCCCTTTGTCGGATGAGTAGGTTGCAAAAACTTTCTCCCATTTTGTAGGTTGCCTGTTCACTCTGATGGTAGTTTCTTTTGCTGTGCAGAAGCTCTTTAGTTTAATTAGATCCCATTTGTCAATTTTGGCTTTTGTTGCCATTGCTTTTGGTGTTTTAGACATGAAGTCCTTGCCCATGCCTATGTCCTGAATGGTAATGCCTAGGTTTTCTTCTAGGGTTTTTATGGTTTTAGGTCTAACGTTTAAGTCTTTAATCCATCTTGAATTGATTTTTGTATAAGGTGTAAGGAAGGGATCCAGTTTCAGCTTTCTACATATGGCTAGCCAGTTTTCCCAGCACCATTTATTAAATAGGGAATCCTTTCCCCATTTCTTGTTTTTCTCAGGTTTGTCAAAGATCAGATAGTTGTAGATAAGCAGCGTCATTTCTGAGGGCTCTGTTCTGTTCCATTGATCTATATCTCTGTTTTGGTACCAGTACCATGCTGTTTTGGTTACTGTAGCATCACTGGCCATCAGAGAAATGCAAATCAAAACCACAATGAGATACCATCTCACACCAGTCAGAATGGCAATCATTAAAAAGTCAGGAAACAACAGATGCTGGAGAGGATGTGGAGAAATAGGAACACTTTTACACTGTTGGTGGGACTGTAAACTAGTTCAACCACTGTGGAAGTCAGTGTGGCGATTCCTCAGGGATCTAGAACTAGAAATACCATTTGACCCAGCCATTCCATTGCTGGGTATATACCCAAAGGACTATAAATCATGCTGCTATAAAGACACATGCACACGTATGTTTATTGTGGCATTATTCACAATAGCAAAGACTTGAAACCAAGCCAAATGTCCAACTGGATTAAGATAGACTGGATTAAGAAAATGTGGCGCATATACACCATGGAATACTATGCAGCCATAAAAAAGGATGAGTTCATGTCCTTTGTAGGGACATGGGTGAAATTGGAAATCATCATTCTCAGTAAACTATCGCAAGAACAAAAAACCAAACACCACATATTCTCACTCATAGGTGGGAATTGAACAATGAGAACACATGGTCACAGGAAGGGGACCATCACACTCTGGGGACTGTTGTGGGGTGGGGGGTGGGGGGAGGGATAGCATTGGGAGATATACCTAATGCTAGATGACAAGTTAGTGGGTGCAGTGCACTAGCATGGAACATGTATACATATGTAACTAACCTGCACACTGTGCACATGTACCCTAAAACTTAAAGTATAATAATAATAAATAAAATAAAATAAAGGAGGAAGTAGAAAAAAAGATTTATTCATGGGTAAAATAATATCATTAAAATTATATCAGTATTTCCTGAACGTCTAAACTACTTCAATAATACTAGTTTTCATTTATTCAGGATGTTATAGCAAAATCCTATAGAGGGAGTAACTCATAAACAACAGAAATTTATTTCCTACAATTTGAAGGCTGGGAAGTTCAAGATAAAGGCAACAGCAGATTCATTGTCTGATGAGGACTTAGTTCCTTGAGCCTTTCTAATAAAGGTACCAATTCCATTCACTACTGCTCTGCACTCATGATCTAGTTGTCTCCAAAAGCCCTGCCTCTTAATATCATCACCATGAGGATTAGGTTTCAACATATAATTCTTTGGGGGACACATACATTCAGACTACAGCAATACTGAGTTGAAAAATTTTATGCGAAAGATTTAGAAAGCTTCTGTGGCTTTTGATTCTTTATGCAAAAACTATATTTTGTAAACTCCCCATATTATTTACATAGTCAAAGTATGAAATGGTATTTTCTATGTATGTGTGTATGTATATGTATATGTACATATTAAAACAAGAGAGATAACTACTGTCAATACCAGAATATTATTGAAGCAATCTCTGTTTCAAACTAAATTGCTTCTGAGCTTCTTAATAACTATGATTTAAGTATATAAATATGTATGTTGTGAAGTAAGCCATTATATGGAAATTTTAAAAACATTTTTTCTAAATTATATTTTCTAGAGATAAGGCTGTGTGAAACATACATTCTGTTTAAATAAATTTTAAAATATCATATCTAAGTAACATTAAATATTTAACAAATTCATCCAATATAAAGAAGGCCAGATATTTGGAATATTTCTTTGGCTATACAAATGAATTCTGTAGAAAGCTTATAATGAGTATTTATACTTACTGTTCCCTAGAACATATTTACCAAGCTCTTTTATTTTTTTGCATAAAAAATCTGCTTTATATATACTCAAAGTTAACTCAAGAAGATTTACCATTAGTTAATTTTTATTAGGAAACTTTTTCTACCCAATTAAACCTGAAAGTCAACTCTTGAACTCCTATTAGTGTTATTTATGTGTTGAGATAATAAAGTCACATGGCTGCAAGAGGAAGGCAGTAAATAAGATAAAGGAAATCAGATGGATTGCAGAGATATTAGAGCATAGACACAAAAGGATAAGCCCAAAACTCATGTCCAAATGATTGTCCCCCACATTATAATTCAAGACTAGTGTTACAAGATAAACTGTTTTATCATTTTTAAAAATAATCCATAAATGCCTATATTTAAAAATGAAAAGTGAAATATTAAGTTTGTGGGTTTTTATTTTTATTTTTGTTTTTGTTTTTGTTTTGATAGGGGAAGTAGGTTAAATAAAACCCGCTATTTGTAACTGGCTAGTCTCCTCTCACATGGGCAGCCAGTTTCTCTAGAATATCCACTGGATTAGTAAAATTGCCAGGTATAAAATTCATGAGTAATTAAATAATAAAGGCAAACATTAGACTTCTAAATAGACACATATTCCTATTAAAGTATGATATCCAAGGCCATCTAATTATTATTAGAAAGACTTCATAGTGGAACATCTAATTCATGATCAGTGAGTTATACATTATACTTAATAATTATCTCATCTCTTGGTATTAAGGAATTTGGATTTTTTAAATAAGTAGACAGCAAAGCTATATAAAAGATTCATTATTTCCAAGTTAGTAGTAGTGTGATCTATTAGTCGTGGTACAGGGGAATGTGCAAGACTTTGTCTGCCACAGGACTTGGAGAAGAGAAGACTGCTTGTGTTTCTCTTTTGTTTTAGTCTTTCATATTTCAATTTTTTAATCATCTATCAACCAGGAATTATGTAATGATCATGTGTCCCACTTATTGCTTAGGATTCAAAATATAACTGTGAACCAGCAAGAACATAACTTGGTGTTTTTTATTGAAGCCAGGCAGTAATTAAAACATGATAAGTACTCAGAAAAGAGACTTATAGTGTTCCATCACCGTCTCTAATATATATCATGGATTATTATTCACTATGTAGTTCATGGTTCAATATTATACTTGGAAATGTGGTGATGATGATGATGATGATGAAGATTATTATTATTATTATTATTATTACTATTTTGAGACAGGGTCTTACTCTGTCTCCCAGGCTGGGGAGTAGTGGCAGGTTCACAGCTCACTGCAGCCTTCACCTCCCACATCCATGCTATCCTCCCACCTCAGCTTTCCAAGTAAGTGGGACTGCAGGCACACTCCACCACACCCAGCTAATTTTTAATTTTTTTATAGAGATGGGATCTCGCTATGTTGCCCAGGTGGTCTCAAACTTCGGGGCTCAAGCCAGCCTCCTACCCTGGCCTTCTAAAGTGCTGGGAACACAGGTGTCAGCCACTGTGCCTATTTTTTATGTATGCAAATTTATCTAGCTGAAATTAACTGAAGTATAGGCCTCGACACTCAATTCTGAACACAATTCTACTCAAAAAGACCTGAAACCATATGCATTCAGTTTGCTCCGCCTGTAGTTACTATGCAATCTTTATGAATTCTGGAAAATTTAATGTTAATGGAATAATATTTGCATTGTAAAACATTTGCTTAGAAGACAGTGATACTTTTTAAAAAATTATTTGAGGGGATTAAGATAATTCCCAGCACGGTATTGTTGTGACTATGATGCTCAGACGTTGAAACATGTTATCATGTTGACTCTGCTTTCAATGTAAGATGTCTGAGCAAAGTAGACCTTCAACAAGGTCTGTGGGAAATGTTTGATTTGCTTGAGATAAGTATATGCCCCTAAGTTAAAGCTCAGATAAGGAGGTGGTGGGATGAGGATTAGTTCTACTTAATTCTCTTCTGTAATACCTTACAAACCTTATGATAGTCTAAAACGAGAATCTTCTTAAAACAGTTTTCTGCTATTACAAAATGTTTATTCCCAAGAGGAACTAAATGAATGCTTAATATTGCTGCAAATTATATTCCCTTTGCTTATCCAGTGAAAATGTCCACAAGCCCAGGCTTGCTGTTGAACTGGAGGTGCCATCAGCAGCTTCCTGCTATCCTTATAAAATGTGAGCAGTTCTGTATGTCTTTCCCAAACACTCTTTACTTGTGTGCTCCTCTTTAATGTGTGTCTTTTTGGTGACTTTGTAACACAATTTGAATTGCTTTAAATAGAGTCATTCTTAACAATTCCCAAGAAGAATAAAAGCAATTTGCACATACTTAGGTCTATCATGTCTGGTGGATACATTATTATTTATCTAGGGGGCTCCTTTGCCAATAAATGAACTAATAAAAAAAAAAATACCGAGGAGATTCTCTACATGAATCAGGGAGTGAGATGGCAGTTATAGGTAACTCAATTATCTTGGTTTAATTGTCTAATTTATCAAAATCTTAATTTTTTTTCTGTAAAATGAAGACAATAAAAACATGTTGTGTTGTTGAAGTTAATGCCAGTTAAAAATGTGGGTGAAATATTTTTTTAAAAAAATCCTAAACAAATATCAGGTAATATTGAAATTATTCTATGAATTTTTATTATCTCTCTGATAATGAGGGCTTGGTGCATTTGGCAGAAGAGGCTCAGCTTGAATAGACATGCCAATAAAAATGGTATGAGGGGCTCCAAATGAAATTACAGGAAAATGAGATTAAATACGATTTGCTTTCCCATTTCACAGATTGAGTTGTGGCTTTAAGGGATCTTTTGAAATGAGCTAGTTTGGTGAGAATATTTAGATGGCCCTTCCTCTTGAATTTCAATCAGAGTGTTGAGAACTATAATTCCAATGGCATTTAGAAGAATCCCTATAGGTGCTGGGTATCATTTAAGATTATAGCACAGCTCTTCTGCCTGTATTTTAAAATGTCAGCCCACATATTCTTCATCAGTATATATTCAGGACCAGTTGATGCCCTTAAAATAATAGACTAGTACTAGAAGTATTGGCAGATTTTAGTATGGTTATCCAACAGCAGAATATCTCCGAGATAATGCACTTTCACTTGATTGACTGTTGCTCTCTCATGACATTGTGCAGACCTTCAGACTCTCATATCTGCCCTGCAGAAAGACAGGCAGGCCTCCACACACGTTAAGAAACATTTGCTCTTTCATTCTTTCTTGCTTCTACTTCAATGCATACTGAAAGAGTTTGTTCTAGTAACTTTCTTTATAACTTCAAAGTGCCTGATTCCATTCTTCAATAGAGCTAGCCAATTCTTAATTAATTATTAATATTTGGTCTGAGAGAGATTTTTCCTCAGTGATTTATAAGAAGAAGTTCTGCCCTAAATAGTATAATAATAGTAGTT